>NC_000009.12:33646363-33797878 GCF_000001405.40 Homo sapiens
CTCTCATTTGACCAGAAATTGGGATGCCTTTTTCAATTTCCTTCCCAGGCAAATGTGTGTCCCCTCCATTCATTCCTCTGATAATGCTCACTCACTCCTCCTCGGGCATAGATTCTGCTCCCAGAATGATATCTGCTTCTCCTTTCCTTGCTCTGCACCTACAAACTTCTGTTAGAAATGCCCAGGAAAACGGTCTCTCAACCACTGGATATGAGTCCCCTCTTCTCTCAACTAGTGTGATCACCACGAATAGTTCATATTCAGCTCCCAAATATTAATTCCACTCAGATTAGTGCCCACAGCAGGGGACAGCAAAACAGCATGTTTACTTTAAGAAATGCAAATAAGGGCAATGATTTTTTTTTTACATTGAAGACAAACCCAAAATAAAAGTTCTTATGATCATCGTCTTGTTTATATTCATCAGACCCCTGGCTAAGCCATTTACTGGAACAAATCCACATTTTTATTCATATTGCTAACAGAGAACCCTAACCAGAAAGAGAAAAAGGGAGGGGACACTGGAATATGTCATCTGGAGTGTAGACAATAGCTGTAAAATGCGGTTGGGGGCCGGGCGCGGTGGCTCAAGCCTGTAATCCCAGCACTTTGGGAGGCCGAGGCAGGCGGATCACGAGGTCAGGAAATCGAGACCATCCTGGCTAACATGGTGAAACCCCGCCTCTACTAAAAATACAAAAAAATTAGCCGGGCGTGGTGGCGGGCGCCTGTAGTCCCAGCTACGCGGGAGGCTGAGGCAGGAGAATGGCGTGAACCCGGGAGGTGGAGCTTGCAGTGAGCCGAGATTGCGCCACTGCACTCCAGCCTGGGTGACAGAGCGAGACTGCGTCTCAAAAAAAAAAAATTAAAAAAATTAAAAATAAAAAAAATTTGCTTGGGTACTCCTAAATAAAGCAACAACTATTCAAAATTACACAGAAGAGGCAGAAGTGGTGAAGGAGGTGGCAGATGAACAAGAGAGGCCATGAGGAGTTGGTAATTGCCAAAGATGACTCATGTGAGGACACAAAGGCTCATTATTTTATTAAGCCTACTTTGTATATGTTTGAAATTTTTAGAATTAAAAGTAAAAATATCTAAAAATAAGACTTTACCAATTTGACATGCAGCAGGAATGATTAGGGTAGGATGCCATGGTGTACCCATGCGTGAGGGAGAGCCAGTGACAGTGATATGGACAGGAGACAGAAGTACTGGGTAGAAAGGGTGGTTTCCCAGCAAAGGCCCCACCCTCAAGCCTGGAGACGTGCAGCTGTAAATAGGGACAGGCATTCCTGTTTTCATCCCCAAAAAGTTGTCTTTTGACCCACCATGCCCCCTTTCTTGTACCCATGTAAACCCCAAACCCCAGGCTTCAGAGGCAGGCAAGCAGGCTAGGAGACAAGCAGAGGGAGGGCGAAACGACATGGCAGAGAAAAAGAGGAGGAACGTCTGAACCGCGAGAGGAGTTCAGCTGGGGGTGGTCAGAGAAGAGTTCAGTCCCTGGATGGCCAAACTCCAAGGGGAAGATCATCTTCTCACCCCATCCCCTCTTCCAGCTCCCCATCCAACCCACTGAGAGCCACTGCCACCACTCAATAAAACCCCACATTCATCCTTCAAGCCCGTGTGTGACCCAATTCTTCCAGGACACTGGGCAAGAGCTCGGGATACAGAAAGCTGTCACACCGGCCCTCCGCCTTTGCAGAAAGGCAGAGGGTCCACTGAGCTGGTTAACACTCAAGCCGTGCGCGGATGGCAGAACTATCTGCACACTTGGGCTCCTGCATCTGTCCGTCTGCGTGTTCCCTTTCCCCTCAGGGGTTTGAGCCCCTGCAGCAACCGAAGAGGTGAGCAACACTCCTGTTGCACGTCCTTCCAGGGGGGTCAGGGAACTCTCCTTTTTCACCAGGACAAGCACAGATCTGAAGCAGCAAAGAGCCAGTTGTTTATTACATTGGACAATATCTCACACTATCACTATAACTGTTCTGTGCTTGCAATCTGCTGCATTAAATATTAAACTCTTGCCTCCTAAAGTCAGGAATAATTTATTTAGAATAAAATGAATTATTTAATGAACCACTGTATTTTCAGCTAATTCAAAATAGGAATGAAGGTGTTAAGTGCTTCTTTGAAGCACATACCCACATTAAACTAACACCTTTCTACAATAAACCAATATTTTTAATAAAGCTCTGTGCCCAGAAAACACTGACCAGAAAAGCAGGAGCCACTAAAAAATTGGAGCAATTTGAAACAAAGTTAGGAATCCTGTCATTCTTAAAACAAAAAAGTCTCAAACTTTACAGAGAATGTATTCAAATTGCATAGTTTACCAAGAACCGAGTTAGAATAAATGATTAAGCACAGAAAAAAAAGGAGAACAATTATATTGTCCTATCATTCAAGTGAGACTAGACTCCCTTTATTCAAAATTCAACTTGGTTTTGAATTTTCTCCAGCCTGCTTTATCAGGAGGATGATGTCTCCTTGAACAACTGAAATAGATATGCCTTGAGAAAGGGGAGAGATACAACTCTCTGGTGGTTGTCAGTAAAGCACCAGAGAGAGAAGAGAAGCAAGTACAGGAATTTCAGCATCTGCTAAGAACATCTAATACATAAGCCAACATGGCATCTTTAAGACCCAGTACCTTGGAAGGGACAATGACATCACTTCCTGAATCCTCCTAGTTTTCTATTTCCATGCCCTGCTTCCCTCAACATCCAGAGCTGGAAACACCTCCATCATTCCTCTTCATGCCATGGCCTCCCTGCTCCTCTTCTGTGTGGCCTTTTGTCTCCTGGGAACAGGTGAGTTTGGAAAACAGATGGGGAAATCACTGCCTTAAATTTTCCAGGTTCTGGATTAAGCCTATCCATAGAGATTGCAGCTTGAAGACATTTACCAGTCTCTGTCTTCAGTTTCTGTCTTATTTCTCCACAGGGTCCATGGATGCTGATGTTATCCAGACCCCAAGGAATAGGATCACAAAGACAGGAAAGAGGATTATGCTGGCATGTTCTCAGACTAAGGGTCATGATGGAATGTACTGGTATCGACAAGACCCAGGACTGGGGCTACGGTTGATCTATTGCTCCTTTGATGTCAAAATATATAAACAAAAGAGAGATCTCTGATGGATACAGTGTCTCTTGACAGGAACAGGCTAAATTCTCCCTGTCCCTAGAGCCTGCCACCCCCAACCAGACAGCTTCTAGGTTACTTCAGTGCCACCAGTGATTTCCACAGTGCTTCTTGGCCACCTGCTCTCTACACAGAAAGACAGACACATGGGTGAGTTGTTTGCTCTGAAGGGTACCTGGATGTGGTTTGTGGGATGTGGGGTGTTTAGAGCTTTCAGTGGTTTTAGGTAGTGTGAGCTAAGGGCCACTTTGGATCAATGTCCTCAAGCCATGTGATGAATCTGAAACCACAGAATCAATCTCCCCTATTTTATTCTTCCTAGGGAGCTAGCCCAATGGTGACCTTTCAGGAGAATGAACTTGAGCATTTGACAGAAGCTCATGATTTTCAACAAGAGCATTTCTTATAAGCTCAATACAACGTAGTTTTTATAGTCTCTTTGCCATTATCTCCACCTGCTTTGCAATATCCCACACTTTGTTCTGTTCCCACAGACAACTCTTTTATCCTGTCTAACCTTTCTCTGCCCCAGTTCTTCCAAGCTCAGCTCCACCATTTAGCTCTATATTTGATTGCCTTTCTACTAAAAACAAAATAACTAGCTTGTTTTCTAAAACTTCACTGTAAGTAAATTTAATTATCATTAAATCTGACTCAGAAGCTAAAGTTCAAGTATCAGAGACTGATTTACAAAAGTAATTTTTCATCTACTACCCCACACTTTCATCTCTGCTGAGATTCATTTTAACGTGCAGATGCAGACAGACTTGCAATATTATCTGGATGTACTGAATTTCAAAAAATAAAATTCCCTGTCCCCAGTATGAGGTCAAAGCTAGGAGCTTGGAGGTGCCTGTTTTCTTTCCAGGCACTGGAATAATTCCCTGGTTCCCCTGCCGTGGGAGTTCTTTTAGGAGCCAGGGAGGCCCAGGCACATTGATCAAGGACTGCCAGAGCTTGATGTAAAAGTCTTCCTGAGAGTCAAGTTGATGTCGTCCTCATGGGTTTTGTCTTCTTGTCCCACAAGCCTCAATTATTTCAGCAAAAGAATCCATGGGACTTGGTGACTGTTCAGAAAGAAAGAATCCAACTTGTTCCCTTTTCTACCTGTTCTCATGTGAAAAGAATGTTACGCTTAGGGATTCTTTCTCATCTGCTTTCTATTTAAAAAGCAGGTTTCTCCAGAGTTTTGTTTCCTGCTTTCTATGCACACCTCGTCAAGTCTTATCAGCAATAATTCTTTCCTCATAAGCTATTAACTATCCCAATTAATTGTCTCCTGGACATTTCTGATAGATTACCCCAGGATTTTTCCTTCTGCCCTCCTTTTTCCTCAGTATACATATTTTTCCTCAACCTTCCCATTCATTGTCATGACAACTTCTTTCACAGGTTCCTGCCTGGCAAATTCAACTATCTACTGGACACTTCCAGCTGGATGCTCCACAGGCAATTCAAACTCAGTTTACCCCTGAAATGAACTGTCTCTCCATCCTTGCACTTGCCCATTTTGGCCACACACTGTATTTCTATCTCAGTGATTGGAACAGCCATTCTAGGTTCCTCATTTTTGCTATGCCTCATATTAAATCAGTTTCTAAATCTATTACTTCTATATCCCACATTGTCATGGTTTGTGTTCTCCAAAAGCAGATTTTGAGAGGGAAATTAGTGTGCGGGAATGTTTGTGGAAACTGCCCTTGCAGTCCACGTGGGCAGAGAGAAATGGGGCAGAGGGAGAAGTTGGGCTGTGCTGTATCCTCAACAAAGTCCTTCACTGACCCCACAGGGAGCTCTGAGTCTGGATGGTCCTTTAGCGCCATCCCAAGGTGAGATGGCAGGTCTTATTCCCACTTTCCTTGTAACCATGTCATTGTATGAGTTGCTCTGAGAAGCACTCATGAATTTAATGGGGAGGAAGTGTCTCTTTAGAACAAGGCCATTCACAGAGAGATGTCAGCATCACAGTTTCTAATGCACACATATTTGTCTGATTCAGCTACCCCTCTCCCTCCTCATTGCTTCTACCTCAGTGCAGACCCTCATCATCCATTGCCTAGAAATAAATGCAATGCCCTCTCCCTGGCTTACTAGCTTCTTACCTCTTTCCCTTACCCTATTTCTCACATTGCCACCAGCATGACCATGTACGATGTTCCTTACACAATACACAAAGCCCTTCAGAAATAGTTCTCAAACTAAACATCTGGCCAAATTGGCCGAATTCACTCCAGCACTTTAGACTCTAGTTCAATTGAACTTTTTATATTTCCCTGAATATACCACGCTGAATTGCACAGGTGTACTTTTGCCAAAGCTCTTTCCTTCATCTGAAATGAGCTTCTCTATTCCTTTTTTGTCAAAACTAATTTTTTAATTTCAACTTTTATTACAGATTAAAGGGCACATGTTGTGCAGGTTTGTTACATGGGTAAATTGCGTGAAGCTGAGACTTCAGGTCCCAACGATCCGATCACCCAGGCCATAAGCATAGAATCCAACAGGTGGTTGTTCAGCCCATGCCCTGCTCCCTCCTTCCCCTGTCTAGTGAGCCCCAGTGTCTATGGTTTCTATCTTTACAATCATGCGTATTCCATGTTTAGCTCCCACTTAAAAGTAAGAACATAGTATTTGATTTTCTGTTCTTGCATTAATTGCTTAAGATAATGTCCTCCAGCTCCATCCATGTTACATAAAGGGAATGATTTTGGTTGTTTTTTTTTTGTTTTTTTTTTTACGGCTGCATGGTATTCCATGGTGTATATGTACCACATTTTCTTTATCCAATTCACTGTTGATGGGTGCTTAGGTTGATTCAATGTCCTTGCTATTGTGAATAGTGCTGCAATGAACATAATGGGTACATGTGTCTTTATGATAGAATAAATGATTTCCCTTTGGGTATATACCCAGTAGTGGGACTGCTGAGTCAAATGGTAGCTCCATTTTAAGTTCTTTGAGAAATCTCCAAACTGCTTTACACAGTGGCTGAACTGGTTTGCATTCCCACCAACAGTGTATAAGTGTTCCCTTTCCTCTGCAGCCTCACCAACATCTATTATTTGAAATAAATCTTGAGTGCCTGGCTAATCCTCACACATCCTTTAATTCTCAGGTCAAAGATTATCTATAACAGTTTTTACAACTTCTGTAGACAAAGACTCAGCTTTTCTCTTGTGTGTGATAGTTTATGCATTTCAAAGTTATCATAGTTGTTATGTTCCTTCATATTTCTTTTCTTTAGCTTTTATTTTAGGTTCATGGGGACATGTACAGGTTTGTTAAACAGTTATGTGCAAACTGTGATGATGATCGCATTATTTTATGGTTGCATAGTATTCCATGATGTATATGTACTATATTTTCTTCATCCAGCTTACTGTTGGATGAACCTTTAGGTTGATTCCATGTCTTTGCTATTGTGAGTAGTGCTGCAATGAACATCTGTGTGCATGTGTCTTTATGACAGAATGAGTTCTATTCTTTTGGGTATATACACAATAATGGGATTGCTGGGTCAAATGGAAGTTCTGTTTTAAGTTCTTTGAGGAATCACCATACTGCTTTCCATGATGGCTGAACTAATTTACACTCTCACCAGCAGCATAGAAGCAATCCCTTTTCTCAGCAGCCTCGTAAGGATCTGTTATTTTTTGACTTTTGATAATAACCATTCTGACTGGTGTGAGATGGTATCTCATTGTAGTTTTGATTTGCATTTCTCTAATGATTAGTGATGTTGAGCATTTTTCATATGCGTGTTGATCACATGTACACCTTTTGCTGAAAAGTGTCTGTTAATGCCCTTTGCCCACTTTTTCATGGAGTTATCTGTTTTCTGCTTGTAAGTTTAAGTTCCTTATAGATTCTGGATATTAGACCTTTGATGCATACACAGTCTGCAAATATTTTCTCCCATTCTGTAGATCATCCATTTACTCTGTTGATAGTTTCGTTTGCTGTGCAGAAGCTCTTTAATTCGGTCTCATTTGTCAATTTTTGATTTTGTTGAAATTGCTTTTGGTATCTTCATCATGAAATCTTTGCGAAGTCATATGACTAGGATGATATAATATTTCCTAGGTTATCTTCCAGGGGCTTTATAGCTTTAGGTTTATATTTAAGTCTTTAATCCATCTTGAGTTGATTTTTGTATATGATATAAGGAAGGGATCCAGTTCAATCTTTTGCATATGGCAAGCCAGTTATCCCCAGCACCATGTGTTGAATAAAGAGTTCTTTCCCCGTTGCTTGTTCTTGTCAGCTTTGTCAAAGACCAGATGGCTGTAGGTATGTGGCATTATTTCCTGGCTCTGTATTCTGTTCCATTGGTCTATATCTGTTTTTGTACAGTACCATGCTGTTTTAGTTACTGTACCCTTGCAGTATAGGTTAAAGTTGGGTAACATGATGCCTCTAGCTTTGTTCGTTTTGCTTAGAATTGCCTTGACTATTCGGGCTCTTTTTTGGTTCCATATGAATTGTAAAATATTGTTTTTTCTAATTCTGTGAAAAACATCGTTAGGAGTTTGATAGGAATATTAGGTTAATGCAAATGTATTTGCAGTTTTTGCATTGTTGAAATTTGCCATTTGGTATTGAAATACATTCTTAAGTAAATGTGGTTATGTTATACATCATTTTAATGCACGTTTTCACTTTATGCTTTTTGCTAATTACTTATTACTTGATACTTATTTGGTATTTATTTTAGACTATCCACATGGTGTTAGACAAAAAGCAGATTAGAGAGATTTTCTTATTTGAGTTCAAAATGGGTTGTAAAGTGGCAGAGACAACTCGCAACATCAGCAACGCATTTGGCCCAGGAACTGCTAATGAACATACAGTGCAGTGTTGGTTCCAGAAGTTTTGCAAAGGAGACAAGAGCCCTGAAGATGAGGAGCATAGTGGTGGGCCATCAGAAGTTGACAATCACCAGTTGAGAGCAATCATCGAAACTGATCCTCTTACAACTAGGCGAGAAGTTGTCAAAGAACTCAAGGTTGACCATTCTACAGTTGTTCAGCATTTGAAACAAATTGGTAAGGTGAAAAAGCTTGATAAGTGGGTGCCTCATGAAGTGAGCAAAACTTTTTTTAAATTGTCATTTTAAAGTGTCATCTCTTATTCTATGCAATGAACCGTTTCTTGATCAGATTGTGACATGCAATGAAAAGTGGATTTTATATGACAACTGCCAACAACCATCTCAATGGTTGGACCGAGAAGTTCCAAAGCACTTCCCAAAGCCAAACTTGCACCAAAAAAAGGTCATGGTCACTCTTTGATGGTCTGCTGCCAGTCTGATCCACCACAGCTTTCTGAATCCCGGAAAAACCATTACACTTGAGAAGTATCCTCAGCAAATTGATAAGATGCACCAAAAATTGCAATGTCTGCACCTGGCATTGGTCAACAGAAAGGGCCCAATTCTTGTCCATAACAACACCTCACCGCAGGTTGCACAACCAATGCTTCAAAAGTTGAATAAATTGGGTACAAACTTTTGCCTCATCTACCATATTCACCTGACCTCTCACCAACCAACTACCACTTCTTCAAGCATCTTGTCAACTTTTTGCAGGGAAAATGCTTCCACAGCCAACAAGATGCAGAAAATACTTTCCAAGAGTTCGTTGAATTCTAAAGCATAGATTTTTATGCTACAGGAATAAACAAACTTATTTCTCATTGGCAAAAAATGTGTTGATTGTAATGGTTCCTATTCTGATTAATAAAGATGTGCTTGAGCCTAGTTATAATGATTTAAAATTCACCAAAACCACAATTACTTTTGCACCAACCTAATACCATCGAATCTATATTGCTTTGGGCAGTATGGCCATTTTAATGATATTGCTTCTTCCTATCCATGTGCATAGAATGTTTTTCCATTTGTTTGTGTCGTCTCTGATTTCTTTGAGCAGTGTTTTGTAATTCTTGTTGTAGAGATCTTTCACTTCTCTGGTTAGCTGTATTCCTAGATATTTGTTGTGTGTGGCAATTATGAATGGAATTATGTTCCTGACTTGGCTCTTAGCTTGTATGTTTTTAGTGTATTGGAATGCCAATTTCTTAATGTTGATTTTGTATTTTAAAACTGCTGAAGTTGTTTATCAGATCAAGCAGCTTTAGGGCAGAGACTATGGGGTTTTCTAGATATAGGACCATGATCTGCAAATAGGGATAGTTTGACTTCCTCTCTTCCTATATGGATGTCTATTTCTTCCTTCTGCCTGATTGCCCTGACCAGGACTCCCACTACTATGTTGAATAGGAATGGTGAAAGAGGGTATCTTTGTCTTGTGCTGGTTTTCTTTTTATACTGGCTCTTCACAAGGCTATATATTCTTTAGTTAAGAGTAGACATCTCGATGGACCAGTGACTATCACCCTATTAACCAGTCACAGGAGCACTGCCATGCATTTGGTATTTTAGTTTTCGGGTATGCTATCACATCACAGAAGGCCTGGTCCCCTCCCCATCACCTGCAGCCGGACTTGTCTTTGATTCCTACCAATCACCTATATTAGCTGTGCCTAAATTCAATATTCCAACTGGGCGTAACCACCCTAAGGTGCTAATTAATTCATACTTGAAGGACATAACAGTAATTAATAGACAAACACACACAACCGCTCCCCTTATTGGACTTTTAAAATAAAAATCTGCAATGCCCCCTCCCCCATCTCTGACTCCATCAACCCAGGAAAAAAGACACCTTGCCAAACTCCAAAAACAAGTAAGCCTTAATTCAACTCTGCCAGACCCCAAAATATTTGTATTTTAGCTTTGGTTATCCCCAACAGCTACCCCTCAACTAATGCAAATTTTTTAAAGAAACTAAGCCCCCACCAATGTAATTCTACTTTTACAACAATTATATCTAATATGCATGCCCATCCATTACTAAGCCCATACCCTAAATTTACACACCCCAAAAAACCTGTGACTTCGTACTACACCAACCACTCGCCAGTACTAACATCTACTCCACCAACTCCTGCTAACTCAACTTTAAATCCCTGAACCCTACAACTGTGAATATTGCTTGTATCTTCTTCTATACTCCAATTTTGCACTTAACATATATACAGTTAATGTAGCTTAATTATTTAAAGCAAGACACTGAAAATGTCTAGATGGGCTTATACAGCCCCGTAAACAGACAGGTTTGGTCCTGGCCTTTCTATTAACTCTTAGTAAGATTACACATGCAAGCATCCCCATCCCAGTGAAAGTACCCTCTAAATCACCTTGATCAAAAGAAGTAAGTATCAAGCATGCACAAATGCAGCTCAAAACACTTTGCCCAGCCACACCCCCACGGGAAACAGCAGTGATAGATCTTTAGCAATAAACAAAAGTTTAACTAAGCTATACTAATATCCAGGGTTGGTTAATTTCATGCCAGCCACCGCGGCCATACAATTAACCTGAGCTAATAGAACTCGGCATAAAGAGTGTTTTAGATCTATCCTTAACAACGCTAAGCGTCATCTAGGTTGTAAAAAACCCTAGCTGAAATAAAATAAACTACGAAGGAGGCTTTAATACTTCTGAAGACACAATAGCTGAGACCCAAACTGGGATTATATACCCCCCAATACGCTTAGCCCTAAACTCCAATAGTTAAATCAACAGAACTATTCACCAGAACACTACAAGCAATAGCTTAAAACTCAAAGGACTTGGCGGTGCTTTATATCCCTCTAGAGGAGCCTGTTCTATAATGGATAAAACCCAATTTGCCTCACCACCTCTTGCTCAGCCTATATACCACTGTCTTCAGCAAACCCTAGCAAAGGCTGCAAAGTAAGCACAAGTATCTACGTAAAAATGCTGGGTCAATGTGTAGCCCACGGTGGTAAGAAATGGGCTACATTTTCTACACCCAGAAAATCTCACGACAACCCTTATGAAATCTAAGGGCTCAAGGAGGATTTAGCAGTACATTAAGAGCAGAGTGCTTAATTGAATGAGGCCATAAAGCACGCACACAATGCCCGTCACCCTCCTCAAATATTACTTTAGAGATTAGTTTAACTAAAACCCCTACTTATTTATATAGAGGAGACAAGTCGTAACATGGTAAGTGTACTAGAAAGTGCACTTGGATGAACCAAGGTGTAGCTTAACACAAAGCATCTGGCTTACACCCGGAAGATTTCACCATAATTTGACCACCTTGAGCCAACTCCAGCCCTAAACTTAACTAATAGTACTACTGAATAACCTTAATCAAACCATTTACCCAAACAAAAGTATAGGCGATAGAAATTTTACCCTGGCGCAATAGACATAGTACCATAAGGTAAAGATGAAAAAGTTAACCAAGCATAAATAGCAAAAATAGACCCTTATACCTTCTGCATAATGAATTAACTAGAAATATCTTTACATAGAGAACCAAAGCCAAGGCCCCTAAAACCAGACGAGCTACCCAAGAACAGCGAAAAGAGCACACCCATCTATGTAGTAAAATAGTGGGGAGATTCATGAGCAGCAGTGATACGCCTCCCAAGCCTGGTGATAGCGGTTGTCCAAGATAGAATCTTAGTTCAACTTTAAATTTACCTACAGAGCCACTTAATCCCCCTGTAAATTTAACTGTTAGTCTAAAGAGGGACAGCTCTTTAGACATTAGGAAACAACCTTCATGTAGAGAGTAAAAAACGTTATCCCCATAGTCGGCCCAAAAGCAGCCATCAATTAACAAAGCGTTCAAGATCAACATCCAACCACTCTAAATTCTAATCACACCACTGAACTCCTAACACCACATTGGACTAATCTATTACTTTATAGAAGCAATAATATTAATATAAGCAACATGAAAATATTCTCCACTGCACAAGCCTACATCAGACCAGAATAACCCACTGACAATTAACAGCCTAATATTAATAATCAACCCAACAAATTTATTATTACCTATACTGTTAATCCAACACAGGCATGCTCTAAGGAAAGGTTAAAAAAGAAAGGGAACTCGGCAAATTTTACCCTGCCTGTTTACCAAAAACATCACCTCTAGCATTATTAGTATTAGAGGCGCTGCCTGCCCAGTGACATATGTTCAACAGCCACAGTACCCTGAGCGTGCAAAGGTAGCATAATCACTTGTTCCTTAAATAGGGACTTGTATGAATGGCTCCATGAGGGTTCAGCTGTCTCTTACTTCCAACCAGTGAAACTGACCTGCCCATGAACAGGCAAACATGAATAAATAAGACGAGAAGACCCTATGGAGCTTTAATTTATTAATGCAAACAAAGCTCAAATAAGCCCACAGGCCTTAAACTACTGTCCCTGCATTAAAAATTTTGGTTGAGGTGACCTCGGAGCATAATTTAACCTCCGAGCAACCTATGCTAAGACTAAACAAGTTTACGTGAATTACTATACATATATTGACCCAATAATTTGATCAACGGAACAAGTTACCCTAGAGATAACAGCGCAATCCTATTCTAGAGTCCATATCGACAATAGGGTTTACGACCTCGATGTTGGATCAGGACATCCTAATGGTGTAGCTGCTGTCAAGGGTTCGTTTGTCCAATGATTAAAGTCCTACGTGATCTGAGTTCAGACCGGAGCAATCCAGGTCTGGTACATGTGTATTTAAGTCCTCCACACCTCCCATCTACAAGTCTCTTTAGAACAAAGAAAATATGTTTGGTTAAGAGAAGGCTGGAAAAAGAGGGGGTTTTACTGGACAAAAAATGTATAGAGACTTATGTAGCAATTATTATCTGATATTAATATCTGATGGTACTACATGATTGAGAAATAGAGTGAAGTGACATAATCCCAAACATACATGGGAGAATGTTCGGGGAAATCAAAGCTGTTTTCCTAATGGAATCTGAGTTTTGAAAAAGAAGACATGCAAAGGGGGATGTATACATATGAAAATATATGAAATATTTCTGTTTTAATTGTTAACACACATTTATATACTCATATATTGAAGTGAGTCTATAATATATTCTAATCAGAATATTTAATAAGTTAAGTTTATGGCTGGAGTCCTAGTTTTAGTATTAGAGGCAAAGAAGCAGAGTTGGAAGGAGGGGAATGAATTATGCATGCTGTATTTGAGGGTCTTTGGAACTTCCAAATGCTGGTAGAGTACACAGTTGGCACTCTGTATCAATGGGGTCCTCATTTGCAGATTTAGTCAACCTCAGATGAAAAATATATTTTAAAAATTACAAAATAACAACACAACAATAAAAATACAAAATTTAAAACAGTGAGGTATACCAACTATTTACATGGCATTTACATTGTATTAGCTATTAAAAGTAATCTAGAGTTGATTTAAAGTATACAGGAGGATGTGCCTAGGTTATATGCAAATACTATGCCATTTTATATAAGAGATTTAAGCATCAGTGGATTTAAACTAATCCCCCATGAATACCGAGGGACCACTGGGTTGAGAACATGGTGCTGAAGCTCATAAAAAGCCCTTGCTCTGGGATTCAGACATAAGACACTGCATAAAAGCTCAACACACATCCCCTATAGTCAGTGTCTGTGATTCTCTGGAATCAAACTCTATTCTGTGAAAACAGGAACTGTGATGACACAGGCTATTCTTGGCATGGGAAATGAAACCTCAGAGGTAATCCTACTTCCATGTGGTCCCAGAGCCCTGAGCTAGGAGATGTTTATCACTATTTGGGAAACCAGAACCCTCAGTCTTTCTCCCTTGTGCCTCATCTGAAGACAGGTGAGTCCTTTGCCATCATATGAAGTCTTAATTTAGCATTGCCACATTCTGGTTCCAGATCTTTCCCTCCTGGCTGAATATTAAGACTGCATTTTATCTCTTGTCTTTCTTGGTATCTCTTCCCTATGCAAACTTCATGAACACTGGAAGGACCACCATGTCCTGAGAATCAAGAAGGCTCCATTGAGAAAGGGTGTTTTACTAGAACAAAAATGTATAGAGATATATACAAGGATTATAAATAATAATGTCTGTCTCTGTAATTATTCACACTTAGCAATTCCCAGCACCTTCTCCAGAGACTTCCCTATCTAAACCAGAAAGGTAGTCTTTGGGGAAAGTGTTTTCATCAATAAAAGGCAAGCTATGCATGAGCTATTCCTGCACTGGGCAGCAAGGAGTGAGTAGACAGTTACCTCTGCCTTCGAGTACCCCTTCATCTGACTAGGACCTGAGACTCTCTCATATCTACTTCCAAGCCCAGGTTGAGAACTTCTCTTCTTTCCTTTCTTAGTTGCTTCTACTGTGAGGTATAGATTTAAATCCAGTCACTGCCGAAGACTTCCATCAACTCATCACTCATCCTTAAGTCATCTCACATTGAGAAAAACTGGGAGCCTTCCGCTTTCCTGTTTCTTTAAAATTTGTCAGAATCTCCCCAAACCTCTAATATCTTTTTTTTCAGCAGGGGGCTGAAAAAGTGCTGTTCTCAGCACTTACTATTAAGACCAGATCTCATACTAAGGTCTAAGGCCAAATCTCATTAATTATTTTAATGGTTACTTTTGTCTTAAAGGAGCCACTGATAGGACAAGAGTATTTCAGGGTTTGGTAAATCAAAACTGTTACATTCCTTCGTGACACATGACAGAGGAAGAGTGAGCAGGGGCCCACATGTGTTATATGTAAGTACATACAGACTTGAAGACATGGTGTTCAAATAGTAGAGATATAATCATAAAAACCCAAACCCCATGTCAGCATCGTGTGAACAAAAATTTTAGTAAATACCAACTGTAAATCTCAATGAACTAGGGCAAAGGAAGTGGACAAAGCTGGGAGAAATTCTGGGATTAATCTTTGTATTTCACAATCAAAACCAAAGGCTTTTCTGTTAAGAAGAAATGGGGGAAAGGGCGGAGGGAAAATGACACTTGGTTTAGACATTGTTTACCGCAGCAGCACCCAAACCATTTTTAGCAGTATTACCAAAGCATGTATTGGATTGTATTTTCTGTTCTGTCATGATTGATGGTGAAATTAAAAGGCAGATGGACTAAAATCATCCTAGGCAAAGGCTAAGTTGATTAAGCTGATAAAGGCTGAACACCAAGTCAATGAAAAATGAGACTGAGAAAGTTATTATCACACAATAATAACACCATATTTTCTGAGGACTCAGTGAATCCCAGTTACTGCTCCAAGCTCTTTACATGTGTCTATATAGATTGCCCCATTTAATGCTAACAAGTTCTCTTGCTCCTTGTCTGATCAAGCCACGCTGTTCACTGGTTCTCTCTTCTGCATGTTCTTCTCTCTTGGGTTTGCAGAGTTCATTCCTGTTCATCCTTCAGAACTCAACTCAAATGCCACTTCCTTTCCCAATCTTTTTAATTAGGTAAAATCCCGCTATTATAGGCATTCAAAGCTATGTAGTTTTTATGCTCATAGCTTATAAAACAGTTGCAATGGAATATTTTATAAGAATATTAAAGACTTGAGTTAAGCAAAGCATGAAGCCTACTTTGGATGAGGGAAGTGAACAAAAATATTAGTCATTTGATGGGTTAAAAGGATATAGATGAAACTGTTTCAACAGGATGGCTGTGGGACCCAGGAAGTTTGCAGGGGCTGTGTCATCACACACACACAATGACTTTATCAAGAGCCCATCCTGCCTCCCCACTACTGGGAGACATCCTCTGTAGCCCCAACTGTGCCATGACTATCAGGTTCCTCCGCCAAGTGGCCTTTTATTTTCTGGAGGCAGGTAAGTAATAGGCACAGTTCATTCCAAAATCTAGAAGGAACACTTCCTCTGTGTTGGGTTTGTGCATGGCTCAGCCTCAAAGTTCATCATGAACTCTGTTGCCAGTTTTTGTCTCTTCCCATAGGCCTTAAGGAAGCTGAAATCTACCAGACCCCAAGACACCGTGTTATAGGGGCAGGAAAGAAGATCACTCTGGAATGTTCTCAAACCATGGGCCATGACAAAATGTACTGGTCAAGATCCAGGAATGGAATTACACCTCATCCACCATTCCTATGGGTTAATTCCACAGAGAAGGGAGATCTTTGCTCTGAGTCAACAGTCTCCAGAATAAGGATAGAGCGTTTTCCCCTGACCCTGGAGTCTGCCAGCCCCTCACATACCTCTCAGTACCTCTGTGCCAGCAGTGAATACACAGTGCTACATAGATACCGACACTCTGCACAGAAAGGGTCGCCTCTAAGGTGAGGACATCTTGCCTTCAGAAACCTTATCTTAAACTACAGAAACCCCTGCAAATCTTCCCAGACTCCTCAGCCTTGAGGGACCAGTGTGCTTTAAGTAACAGTCTGGACTAAAGACTATCTCTGGCTCAGTCTCTAACAAGCTGAGAAATGACCCAGCCCCACAGTCATCCTGGCTGACTTCTTCCTTGCATCTAGTTCTTGCTGTTCAATTGAGCTTGCACAAATTTTATCCTTCAAGATAAATGTGATGATATTTGACAGTTGCCTTATGGCTAGCTGAAGAAAGTCTTTGTCAGCTAAGAAACAGGAAAAGGATCCTTTAACTTTCTGCACAGGCTTTCTTTATCTCTGGTTCATGGTTCCTTCCTCATGTTAAACTCGTTCCTTCATACACAGCCACACAAAGTCCTTGCCCTTTCCTGACCCCAGTCCTGCACCTGATGACTTCAGTTCCTCTCTATGACTTTGAACTTGGAATAAATTTTTATTTTCACTTGAAATAAGTGATTAATGATTATTTTCACTAATCTCCCTCTAAATAAATGTAATTTGAGCTAAATCTGCATGAGGCCTAAGGAAGAGAAAAGGCTCCAACTTTGGAAAAGAATAGTCTTCAACAATGTCCCTGGATTCAGCCCTAAATCTCTTTGGAGACTACCCTTACCAGTGGGAGACTATCCTACAGATAGATGATTCTTCTCTCTTGGATATGCTGAATCTCAGGGAAGTGTTCTCTATCCACATGAGATCAGACCTGGGACCTTGAATAGATTGATTTATTTTTCACAAAAGCACAGACTACTGTGGGGCCCTGGGTGCTGAGCTCAGATGTGAAACTTCTGTTTTGAGGTTACCAAAAAGTAAAGTCACAGAGTCTCTGTCCTGGTTTTGCCTCCTTAAAAAGTAGCTTTAATATGTTAGAAAAGAATCTAGAAAACATAATACATATTTTATTGTAAAAGTCATTGCTTGTTCATTCTTCTTTTCTGTTTGTATTCTACAATACTAGCCATTCCTCACTCTTCTTTGTGGGCTCTTTCTATTCTCATTTTCCTTACTTTGTCCTTATTTCTGGGCTTTTTATTCTTTTCCTCTTAACCTATGCATACATCTTAGACAATATCATCTAATTTATTACTTGAAGTATATATCTCATTAGTTTCAAACTTATTCTCTAGCTGCCTACTAGATATTTCCATCTCTATATTTCATAGGCTCCTCAACTCAACTTGTCCCCAACAGAGAGTTCATCATCCTCCCAATACCATGTCCTCTTTTGGAGACACCATCATCTATCTTGGGAGGCTCATCTCCAATGGTCAGGTGTCCTTAGCAAACACCTAGAAGATTAAAAACCCTTGCTTACTGAACTCTTAGCCTCATGCCTTACCCTTCTGGCCTTCTTGCAAAAGTGATATGCATCAGAGAGTTGGCCCTCTGTATTCACAAGTTCCACATCCCTGGATTCAACCAACCACAGATCAAAAATATTTTTTTCAAAAATTGTGTCTATACTGAACACATACAGACTTTTTTCCTTGTCATTATTCTAAACAATACAGTATAACAACTATTTACATAACTTTGTATTGTATTTGGTACTATGAATTATTTACAGATGACTTAAAGTATTTGGGAGTATATGCAAAGATTATATGCAAATACTATAACATTTTTTATCTGGGACTTGGGCATTTGTAGATTTTGTTATCCTTGGGAGGTCTTGGAACCAATTCCCCAAGATACTGAGGGATAACTGTAGACAAATGTGATCATGCTACTGGATCCCCTCACCATTTCTCCATGCTTCTCCTTCATATTCAAGATAAAATTTAAATTTCTTCACCTGGCTTAATGGTATTTTGTGATCTGGACTCCAGAAATTAGCTTATCTTGAACACCTTATCCCAGCTATTTTTCATCCTGGCAATCCTGAACTTCTGACCATTTTCTATAGTCCATGTTCTCTTACCCATCTGAGATCCTGTACCTGCTGTCCCTCTATCTCTGAAGTCCGCACTTCTTGTCTACAGGGCTGACTCCTACTCCAGCATCTCATTAATCACTATGCTAACACAAGAAGTCTTCATCTGCTTCAGTTTATTCCTGTCCTCCAACTAGTGGTGTGGGAGGGTCTCTTCATCACCATCCTCCTTATTTTCTAGGATATATCTCTTTTTGGTGCATGGTTTTCCTGGGGCATTTTGATTAAGAATGGTCACATGGTATAAATCAGACAGAAACAAAACAAATCAAAGTCTCTGAGTGGGGATGGATGTCACCCCTGCTGGGTATTTTTGGATGTCATGCTGGAAGCTGATCCAGTGCAATCCTCCTCGTTCTCTGATGGGAGGAAGTTCTAGCTTTGACCCTGGAACAGATCATGATGAATGCTTCCTGGAAAGATGCCACGTGAATTGTGGGGTTCAGAGTAAAGAAATAAGTGACATGTTTATGTTAATAGATATTACTTATATATGAGCAAACCTGGTCTTGCTTTATTATAAAAATAGCAGCTATTGCTCAGTTTTATAGATTTATTGAAGTATAATTTAAATGCCATAAAATTCACTCTCTGTAAGGTACAGTTTAATGATTTATAGTAAATTTATTGAGTTTTACAAGCATCTCAAAATACTTTAAAACATTCACATTGCCCCCAGGAGATCCTTTCTGCCCTTTAGCAGTTATTCTCTGAGGTTCCCCACCCCAGGCAGCCCCCTATCTATTCTTTGCCTCCATAGATTTGATTTTTTTTTTCTTTTGAGATGGAGTCTTGCTCTGTTGCCCAGGCTGGAGCACAGTGGCATGATCTCTGCTCACTGGTTCACGCCATTCTCCTGCCTCAACCTCCCAAGTAGCTGGGACTACAGGTGCCCACCACCACACCTGGCTAATTTTTTTGTATTTTTAGTAGAGACAGGGTTTCACTATGTTAGCCAGGATGGTCTCAATCTCCTGACCTCATGATCTGCCTGCTTCGGCCTCCCAAAGTGCTGGGATTACAGGCTTGAGCCACCATGCCCGGCCCATAGATTTGATTTTTCTGAAAAATTTATAAAAACAGAATATTACAATATGCAGTCTTTGTTTCTGACTCCTTTAAGTTTGCCTAACATTTGAGGTGTTCATTCATGTTGTAGCATATTTTAGTTATTTGCTACATATTTGTTGCAGAAAATTTTTTCATTCTATGGATATAGCATATTTTATGTATCCACTCATCAATTTTTGGACATTTGGATTGCTCCAGTTGTTAACCTATTATGAATAATGCCACTATAAATGTTCTCATATAAATCTTGTTGGTCCATTCCAAAATGGCCGAATAGGAACAGCTCTGGTCTGCAGTTCCCAGCGTGATCAATGCAGAAGACAGGTGATTTCTGCATTTCCAACTGAGGTACCTGGTTCATCTCAATGGGACTGATTGGACAGTGGGTGTGGCCCATGGAGGGTGAGCTGAACCAGGGCGGGGCATCACCTCACCCAGGAAGCACAAGGGGTCGGGGGAGTTCCCTTTCCTAGCCAAGGGAAGCCATGACAGACTATACCGAAAATCAGGACACTGTCATTCAAATACTGGGCTTTTTCAACGGTCTTAGGAAACAGCACACCAGGAGATTACATCCCACGCCTGGCTCGGTGGGTCCCATGCCCACAAAGCCTTGCTCACTGCTAGTGCAGCAGTCCAAGATCGAACTGTGAGGTGGCAGCCTGGCTGGGGGAGGGGCCTCCACCATTGCTGAGGCTTGAATAGGTAAACAAAGTGGCTGGGGAAGCTCGAACTGGGTGAAGCCCACCGCAGCTCAACAAGGCCTGCCTGCCTCTGTAGATTCCACCACCGGGGGCAAGGCATAGCTGAACAAAAGGCAGCAGAAACCTCTGCAGACTTAAACATCCCTGTCTGACAGCTCCAAAGAGAGCAGTAATTCTCACAGCACGGTGTTTGAGCTCTGAGAACAGACAGACTGCCTCCTCAAGTGGGTCCTTGACTCCTGTGTAGCCTAACAGGGAGACACCTCCCAGTAGGGGCCAACTGACACCTCATTCAGCTGGGTGCCCCTCTGGGACAAAGCTTCCAGAGGAAAAATCAGGCAGCAATATTTGCTGTTCTGCAATATTTGCTGCTCTGCAGCCTCCACTGGTGATACCCAGGAAACAGGGTCTGGAGTGGACCTCTACCAAATTCCAACAGACCTGCAGCTGAGGGACCTGACTGTTAGAAGGAAAACTAACAAACAGAAAGGAATAGCATCAACATCAACAAAAGGACATCCACACCAAAACCCCATCTGTAGGTCACCATAATCAAAGACCAAAGGTAGATAAAACCAAAAAGCTCCCTATCCCTCTCCCTCTCCCCACGGTCTCCCTCTCCCTCTCCCTCTCCCCATGGTCTCCCTCTCCCTCTCTTTCCACGGTCTCCCTCTGATGCTGAGCTGAAGCTGGACTGTACTGCCGCCATCTCTGCTCACTGCAACCTCCCTGCCTGATTCTCCTGCCTCAGCCTGCCTAGTGCCTGCGATTGCAGGCGCACGCCGCCATGTCTGACTGGTTTTCGTATTTTTTTGGTGGAGACGGGGTTTCACTGTGTTGGCCGGGCTGGTCTCCAGCTCCTAACTGCGAGTGATCTGCCAGCCTTGGCCTCCCGAGGTGCCGGGATTGCAGATGGAGTCTCGTTCACTCAGTGCTCAATGTTGCCCAGGCTGGAGTGCAGTGGCCTGATCTCGGCTCGCTACAACCTCCACCTTCCAGCCGCCTGCCTTGGCCTCCCTAAGTGCCAAGATTGCAGCCTCTGCCCGGCCGCCACCCCGTCTGGGAAGTGAGGAGCGTCTCTGCCTGGCCGCCCATAGTCTGGGATGTGAGGAGCCCCTCTGCCCCGCTGCCCAGTCTGGGAAGTGAGGAGCGCCTCTTCCCGGCCGCCAACCCGTCTAGGAAGTGAGGAGCGTCTCTGCCCGGCCGCCCATCGTCTGAGATGTGGGGAGCGCCTCTGCCCCACTGCCCCATCTGGGATGTGAGGAGTGCCTCTGCCCGGCAGCTGCCCCGTCTGAGAAGTGAGGAGCCCCTCTGCCCGGCAGCTACCCCGTCTGAGAAGTGAGGAGCCCCTCTGTCCGGCCGCCACCCCATCTGGGAGGTGTACCCAACAGCTCATTGAGAATGGGCCATGATGATGATGGCGGTTTTGTCAAATAGAAAAGGGGGAAATGTGGGGAAAAGATAGAGAAATCAGATTGTTCCTGTGTCTGTGTAGAAAGAAGTAGACATAGGAGACTCCATTTTGTTCTGTACTAAGAAAAATTCTTCTGCCTTGGGATGCTGTTGATCTATGACCTTACCCCCAACCCGTGCTCTCTGAAACATGTGCTGTGTCCACTCAGGGTTAAATGGATTAAGGGTGGTGCAAGATGTGCTTTGTTAAACAGACGCTTGAAGGCAGCATGCTCCTTAAGAGTCATCACCACTCCCTAATCTCAAGTACCCAGAGACACAAACACTGCGGAAGGCCCCAGGGTCCTCTGCCTAGGAAAACCAGAGACCTTTGTTCACTTGTTTATCTGCTGACTTTCCCTCCACTATTGTCCTACGACCCTGCCAAATCCCCCTCTGCGAGAAACACCCAAGAATAATCAATTAAAAAAAAAAAAAAAAGATGGGGAGAAACCAGAGCAGAAAAGCTGAAAATTCTAAAAACCAGAGTGCCTCTTCTCCTCCAAAGGATCACAGCTCCTCACCAGCAACAGAACAAAGCTGGATGGAGAATGACTTTGATGAGTTGCCAGAAGTAGGCTTCAGAAGGTCAGTAATAACAAACTTCTCCGAGCTAAAGGAAGACGCTCAAACCCATCACAAGGAAGCTAAAAACCTTGAAGAAAGATTAGACGAATAGCTAACTAGAATAAACAGTGCAGAGAAGACCTTAAAGGACCTGATGGACTGAAAACCATGGCACAAGAACTACGTGACGCATGCACAAGCTTCAGTAGCTGATTCGATCAAGTGGAAGAAAGGGTATCAGTGATTGAAGATCAAATTAATGAAATAAAGCAAGAAGAGAAGCTTAGAGAAAAAAGAGTAAAAAGAAACAAAGCCTCCAATAAATATGGGACTATGTGAAAAGACCACATCTATGTCTGATTGGTGTACCTGAAAGTGACAGGGAGAATGGAACCAAGTTGGAAAACACTCTTCAGGATATTATTCAGGACTTCCTCAACCTAGCAAAGCAGGCCAACATTCAAATTCAGGAAATACAGAGAACACCACAAAGATAGTCCTCGAGAAAAGCATCCCCAAGACACATAATTGTCAGATTCACCAAGGTTGAAATGAAGGAAAAAATGTTAAGGGCAGCCAGAGAGAAAGGTTGGGTTACCCACAAAGGGAAGCCCATCAGACTAACAGCGGATCTCTCGGCAGAAACTCTACAAGCCAGAAGAGAGTGGGGGCCAATATTCAACATTCTTAAAGAAAAGAATTTTCAACCCAGAATTTCATATCCAGCCAAACTAAGCTTCATAAGTGAAGGAGACATAAAATTCTTTACAGACAAGCAAATGCTGAGAGATTTTGTCACCACCAGGCCTGCCCTAAAAGAGCTCCTGAAGGAAGCACTAAACATGGAAAGGAACAACTGGTACCAGCCACTGCAAAAACATGCCAAATTATAAAGACCGTCGATGCTAGGAAGAAACTGCATCAACTAATGGGCAAAATAACCAGCTAACACCATAATGACAAGATCAAATTAACACATAACAATATTAACCTTAAATGTAAATGGGCTAAATGCCCCAATTAAAAGACACAGACTGGCAAATTGGATAAAGAGTCAAGGCCCATCAGTGTGCTGTATTCAGGAGACCCATCTCACGTGCAGAGACACACATAGGCTCAAAATAAAGGGATGCAGGAAGATCTACCAAGCAAACAGAAAGCAAAAAAAAAGCAGGGGTTGCAATCCTAGTCTCTGATAAAACAGACTTTAAACCAACAAAGATCAAAAGAGACAAAGAAGGCCATTACATAATGGTAAAGGGATCAATTCAACAAGAAGAGCTAACTATCCTAAATATACATGCACCCAATACAGGAGCACCCAGATTCATAAAGCAAGTCCTTAGAGACCTACAAAGAGACTTAGACTCCCACACAATAATAATGGGAGACTTTAACACTCCACTGTCAATATTAGACAGATCAACGAGACAGAAGGTTAACAAGGTTATCCAGGACTTGAACTCAGCTCTGCACTAAGCCGACCTAATAGACATCTACAGAACTCTCCACCCCAAATCAACAGAATATACATTCTTCTCAGCACCACATTGCACTTATTCCAAAATTGGCCACATAGTTGGAAGTAAAGCACTCCTCAGCAAATGTAAAAGAACAGAAATTATAACAAACTGTCTCTCAGACCACAGTGAAATCAAATTCAAACTGAGGATTAAGAAACTCACTCAAAACCGCACAACTACATGGAAACTGAACAACCTGCTCCTGAATGACTACTGGGTAAACAACAAAATGAAGGCAGAAATAAAGATGTTCTTTGAAACCAACGAAAACAAAGACACAATGTACCAGAATTTCTGGGACACATTTAAAGCAGTATGTAGAGGGAAATTTATAGCACTAAATGCCCACAAGAGAAAGCAGGAAAGATCTAAAATTGACACCCTAACATCACAATTAAAAGAACTAGAGAAGCAAGAGCAAACACATTCAAAAGCTAGCAGAAGGCAAGAAATAACTAAGATCAGAGCAGAACTGAAGGAGCTAGAGACACAAAAAACCCTTACAAAAATCGATGATTCCAGAAGCTGGTTTTTTTAAAAGATCAACAAAACTGATAGACCGCTAGCAAGCCTAATAAAGAAGAAAAGAGAGAAGAACCAAATAGATGCAATAAAAAATGATAGAGGGGCTATCACCACTGATCCCACAGAAATACAAACTACCATCAGAGAATACTATAAACACCTCTATGCAAATAAATTAGAAAATCTAGAAGAAATGGATAAATTCCTGGACACATACACCCTCCCAAGACTAAACCAGGAAGAAGTTGAATACCTGAATAGACCAATAACAGGGTCTGAAATTGAGGCAATAATTAATAGCCTACCAACCAAAAAAAGTCCAGGACCAGACGGATTCACAGCCGAATTCTACCAGAGGTACAAAGAGCTGGTACCATTCCTTCTGAAACTATTCCAATCAATAGAAAAAGAGGGAATCTTCCCTAACTCATTTTATGAGGCCAGCATCATCCTGATACCAAAGCATGGCAGACACACAACAAAAAAAGAGAATTTTAGACCAATATCCCTGATGAACATCTATGTGAAAATCCTCAGTAAAATACTGGCAAACCAAATCCAGCAGCACATCAAAAAGCTTATCCACCAAGATCAAGTGGGCTTCATCCCTGGCATGCAAGGCTGGTTCAACATACGCAAATTAATAAACATAATCCATCACATAAACAGAACCAAAGACAAAAACCACATGATTATTTCAATAGATGCAGAAAAGGCCTTCAACAAAATTCAACAGCTCTTCATGCTAAAAACTCTCAATAAACTAGGTATAAATGGAATGTATCTCAAAATAATGAGCTAATTATGACAAACCCACAGCCAATATCATACTGAATGGGCAAAAACTGGAAGCATTCCCTTTGAAAACTGGCACAAGACAGGGATGCCCTCTCTCACCGCTCCTATTCAACATAGTGTTGGAAGTTCTGGCTAGGGCAATCAGGCAAGAGAAAGAAATAAAGTGTACTTAATTAGGAAAAGAGGAAGTCAAATTGTCCCTGCTTGCAGATGACATGATTGTATATTTAGAAAACCCCATTGTCTCAGCCCAAAATCTCCTTAAGTTGATAAGCAACTTCAGCAAAGTCTCGGGATACAAAATCAAAATGCAAAAATCACAAGCATTCCTATACACCAAGAATAGACAGAGAGCCAAGTCATGAGTGAACTCCCATTCACAATTGCTACAAAGAGAATAAAATACCTGGGAATTCAACTTACAAGGGATGTGAAGGATCTCTTCAAGGAGAACCACAAATCACTGCTCAATGAAATAAAAGAGGACTCAAACAAATGGAAGAACATTCCATGCTCATGGATAGGAAGAATCAATATCGTGAAAATGACCATGCTGCCCATGGTAATTTATAGATTCAATGCCATCCCCATCAAGCTACCAATGACTTTCTTCACAGAATTGGAAAAAACTACTTTAAAGTTTATATGGAATCAAAAAAGAGCCCACATTGCCAAGACAATCCTAAGCAAAAAGAACAAACCTGGAGGCATCATGCTACCTGACTTCAAACTATACTACAAGGCTACAGTAACCAAAACAGCATGGTACTGGTATCAAAACAGAGATATAGACCAATGGAACAGAACAGAGGCCTCAGAAAGAACACCACACATCTATAACCATCTGATCTTTGACAAACCTGACAAAAACAAGAAATGGGGAAAGGATTCCCTATTTAATAAATGGTGCTGGGAAAACTGGCTAGCCATATGTAGAAAGCTGAAACTGGATCCCTTCCTTACACCTTATACAAAAATTAATTCAAGATGGATTAAAGACTTAAATGTTAGACCTAAAACCATAAAAACTCTAGAAGAAAATCTAGGCAATACCATTCAGGACATAGGCATGGGCACAGACTTCATGACTAAAACACCAAAAGCAATGGCAACAAAAGCCAAAATAGACAAATGGGATCTAACTAAACTAAAGAGCTTCTGCACAGCAAAAGAAACTACCATCAGAGTGAACAGGCAACCTACAGAATGGGAGAGAATTTTTGCAATCTACCCATCTGATAAAAGGCTGTTATCCAGAATCTACAAAGAACTTAAACAAATTTTCAAGAAAAAATCAAAGAACCCCATCAAAAAGTGGGCAAAGGATATGAACAGACACTTTTCAAAAGAAGACATTTATGCAGCCAACGACACATGAAAAAATGCTTATCATCACTAGTCATCAGAGAAATGCAAATCAAAATCACAATGAGATACCATCTCACAACCAGTTAGAATGGCAATCAATAAAAAGTCAGGAAACAACAGATGCTAGAGAGGATGTGGAGAAATAGAAACACTTTTACACTGTTGGTGGGACTGTAAACTAGTTCAACTGTTGTGGAAGACAGTGTGGCGATTCCTCAAGGATCTAGAACTAGAAATACCATTTGAACCAGTGATCCCATTACTGGGTATATACCCAAAGGATTACAAATCATGCTACTATAAAGACACATGCACATGTATGTTTATTGTGGCACTATTCACAATAGCAAAGACTTGGAACCAACCCAAATGTCCATCAATGATAGACTGGATTAAGAAGATGTGGCACATATACACCATGGAATACTATGCAGCCATAAAAAAGGATGAGTTCATGTCCTTTGTAGGGACATGGATGAAGCTGGAAACCATCATTCTGAGCAAACTATCACAAGGACAGAAAACCAAACACCGTATATTCTCACCCATAGGTGGGAATTGAACAGTGAGAACACTTGGACACAGGGCGGGGAACATTGCACACCGGGGCCTGTCATGGAGTGAGGGCGTGGGGGACGGATAGCATTAGCAGAAATACCTAATGTAAATGACGAGTTAATCGGTGCAGCAAACCAACATGGCACATGTATACATATGTAACAAACCTGCATGTTGTGCACATGTACCCTAGAACTTAAAGTATAATAATAAAATAAAAAATAAAATAAATAAATCTTTGTGAAGTTATAAACTTTAATTTTATTTGGTAGGTATCTAGAAGTGGAATTACTGAGTCATAGGGTAAGGGTATAATAAATTAAAAACAAAAACAAAGAAAACTTGTAAAATGTTTTCTGAATTGGCTATTTCATTTTACATTTCTATCGTCAATGTGTGAGGTTCCAGTTTTTTCACATCCTCTCCAATACTTGGTCTTTTTTAATAATCATCATTCTGGCAAATGTGTAGTGTCATCTCATTGTGGTTTTTAAATTTTGTTTCTCTAATAACTAATGATATTGAACATCTTTTGTTTGCTTATTGGTTATTCCTATATGATCTCTGATGACATACCTATTCGAACCCTTTATTCATTTTAATTGGATGGTTTGTGTTTTTATTTAGTTTTAACTGTCCCTTATCAGATACATGACTTTCAAAAATTTCTCCCTGCTTTATGATTTGTCTTCTCATTTTCTTAACAGGTGACTTTGAAGATAAACCATTTTTTATTTTGATGACGTCCGATTTTTCAATTTATCTTTTATGAATTATGCTTTTCCTGTTACTTCTAAGAAACAACTAAGCCAAAGTCATAATTTTTTTTCTGTCTTCTTCTAGAAATTTCATAGTTTTTGCTCTTATATTTGGTGTATGCCATGTTCTGAGTTAATTTGGGGGTATGGTGTGAGGTAATGATCCAACATCATTATTAATAGTATTTTTGCATAGTTTAATTTCTGTACTATTTGTTGAAAATAATATTATTTCATCATTAAACTGACTTTACACCATATTCAAAAATGAGTTAACCATAGTGGATGGGTTTATTTCTGATGTTTGTCTTCTATGTTCTTTTTTTTTTTTTTAGCATTACAAAATATTTTATATTTAATGAGAAAAAAGAAGCTTGCAGGCAGCACATGAAGCATTCACAGCAGGTATATGATTGAAAACTAGTAAAATAAGTGTAAGTTGTTGACTGATGTAGGTACTAATAGCATCTGACTTTCAGCACTGGCCTTGATTACACAGGAGATGGAGAAGTCGTTACAATTAAGAAAACATATTTAACAAATCATTGTCAATTTTTATAATGTTTCAAGCCCATTCTTTGTTGATAGCCTCCACATTTATATGGTTAAGTCATTGTTGCTGTGTTTCTTATCTATGACATTATTTTTATATCCCTTCATTTGTGGATCTTAAGATGTTGCAGAAGGTTCATTCCTGTACCCCAATACAGATTCACTTCCTTTAGCTGCCTTTTCTAGCACCAATATGCTTTTAAAAAAATGCGAAAACAACAAGCAGTGACAGCAGCCAATTCCTCGAATGTCCAGATTAATAACTGTAGCATGCTAAAGAAAGGTGTGTGTAAATAGCTGGAGATGGTATATGGTCCAGAGTCCAGCATAAAATTATTTCCTTTCTGAGCATTCCCTCCATTCCCCTAACCCAAATACATGCAAGAATGCAGCAAAACCCTTCAGAAACTTCTCTTAGCTAACTGCAAACTTATCTGTTGCCACAAGTGCAAAGGGGTATGATGTGAACCAGTATATCACAAAGCTCTTTAGCCACTTCAGTTGGTGACAGAACACAAAAGGAAAAAATTCCTACGTATACACACCAGTCTGTCTCCACTTTTTATAAAACTGGAATAAAATGGGAAAGTGCCATCTTTATTAATCCTAATTGAATTTTAAATGTCCTTTTGACACAAAAAGGTATATACATGACACAGCTACACAACCTTTTTTCAACTGGACAACAAGTGTCAAAACCCTGTGGATGTATAGGGTAAAACAAGATTGGTCACGAAAAGAGAATTGTTTCTATAACTGGTAATCTGACACAATGTCCTATTGCCATTAAAAAAAAAGGTCCCTTTTCAGTTTATTCAAGTTTGTTTTCATGGTGTTTTATCCCTCTTGATAAAAAAAAATTCAGACTTTTGTAATTTGTGTATGCTGATCTTCATCAAAAGGTTCATTCTCTGGATCAGAGTCAGTGGTGTCAGAATATCTATAATGATCAGGTTCATTGTCACTAACATCTGGTGTTACAGAAGTTGAACTGCTAGCCTCTGGATTTGACGGCTCCTCTACTGTTTTTGTGAAGTACAGCTTCACCTTAAAATTTGGAGAAAAGTATCGGTTGGCTTTGTCTTTATTTGCTTTGTCAAGATCATTTTTTGTTAAAGTAAGTACTAGATACTCCTTGTCATTATCTGCACGCTCTATACTGCAAATGCTATCAATTTCTTGATCACATAGACTTCCATTTTCTACTTTTTCTGAGGTTTCCTCTGGTCCTGGTATGAAGAATGTATTTACCCAAAAGTGAAACATTTTGTCCTTTTTTAGCATCTTGTTCTGTTTGTGGAAGAACTCTACTTTGATATCACCACACACAGGTAACGGCTGAGGGAACTCAAAATACATGAACTTGTCCTCCCATCGTGTGGGTCCTGAATTGGAGGAATACATCTTCACCTTTAGCTGGCAGACCACAAACTGAGGATTGCAAGTTCCGCCACTGAACATTGGAATAGTTTCAAACATCATCTTGTGAAACAACAGTGCCACTGGTCTATAATCCACATGATTCTTTACCAGGTAGCTATAGTAATACACATAGCGCCTCTGACTGGGAATAGTTACTCCCTTTTTGTCTCTGGTCCTTACTTCCCCATAGAAATCTAGGGCCTCTTGTGCCTTTAAAAATTTGCCCCGATGTAATAAATATGCATAAATCATTATACCAGTTCGTCCCTTTCCAGCTTTACAGTGAATTGCTGCAACATGATTGTCATCTTCACTTAGCCATTGGTCAAGATCTTCACAAAAGGGTTTGATAAGTTCTAGCTGTGGTGGGTTATGGTCTTCAAAAGGATATTGCGCAACTCTGTAATTAGATTTGGCGGTGTCATAATGTCTTTCAGCACAAAGATTGTGTATCTTGTAATGGTTTTTATGCTTTGAATCCAAAAACCTTACTACATCATCAATATTGTTCCTGTATACGCCTTCAAGTCTTTCTGCAGGAAATCCCATAGCAATAATGTTTAGATAAATATAGGTCAAGTCTAAGTCGAATCCATCCTCTTGATATCTCCTTTTGTTTCTGCTAACGATCTCTTTGATGATGGCTGTCCTGTCTGGGAGCCTGTGGCTGAAGAAAAAGGAGGAGAGAGATGGCAGAAGCTGCTGGTGGCGGGGCTCTGCAGGATGGAAATGGCTCTGGACTTGGCGGTAGCTGATGCCCCTCGCTCAGCCGCTGCTTGGCTCTGGACCGCAGCCGGGTAATGGCTGCGGCAGCAGCTGCTGGATGGTGGCAGCTACTGGGCCTGCTTCTCCTCAGCAGCCAGAGGCCTGGCAGCGGCGGCAGCGGAATGGGGAGAAGACGAATAATCCTCCGAACGGCTGCCTCCTCCAGCGGCCTCCGGAGCCCGGGCCACGGGGGGTGCGGCGGCGGCGGACGAGAGGTTTAAAACCGGCCCGGGTCCCTCCATGTGCCGCCGCCGCCGCCGCCGCCGCCGCCGTGTTGGAGGCAGTAGAAGGGGAGAGACCAACTCTCCGGCGTTCCCAGCCCTGGAAATGGTGACAGGCGACTCAGACCCCCTCCCTGGAGCTGCAGCCGCCGGGGCCACCGGGGGCGCCGCCGCCGCCGCTTCTCCCCCCGCTCCAGGAGGGGGAGGTGCCGCCGCCGCCGCGCCTCAGCCGGCTCCCGCCCAAGCCCACGGCTTCCACCTTCCCTTTCAGGAGAAGCCGAGGAAGAGGCTGCACAGTTAGAAAAGACGAAGAAGAAGCGAGAAACGCCGCCGCTGCCGGCGCCGCCCCCGCGGATGCTCACGGGTTGCTGAGAGGGGCTTCAGGCCGGGCCGGGCCGGGCCGCCGCCGCCGCCGCCGTCTCTGTCTCTCATCTCCCTCGCCTGAGCCCGGCCTCGCCTCACAGCGGCTCAACATTCAAACTTCCATCACGGCTGCAGCTTCTGAGAGGAGAGCATCTTCTAGGTTCGTAATCTATGTTGATCTTATGTTAATACCACACTCTGTTGATTATTGCAGCTTTATCGTATGTTTTAAAATTGGCTAGTGTAAGTCTTTTAATTGTGTTTTTCTTTTTCAAAATTGCCTTGACTATTCAAGTCCTAGGTATCACCATATAGGTTTAGGATCAGCTAGTCAATCTCTACAAAAGGTACTACTAGAATTTTGACAAGGATTGCCGTGTACTTATTGATAAATTTGGAGATAATTTCTATCTTAACAATACTGAGTCCTCCATGATCATGGAATGTTTTTTCCATTCTTTTTCATCTTTTAAAACTTATCTCAGCATTTTATATTTTTTCTATGTATAGGTCTTATATTTCTGTTGTTTAATATATTGCAAAGTGCTATTTTCTATACTGCAACTATAAAAATATTTTTCTTAATTTCACTTTTGGATTATTACTAGTATTAGAACACATATGATTTTTGTTATACATACTGTATCCTGACATCTTGCTAAATGGATTTGTTAGTTATAGAAGTTTCTTCGTAGATTTCACAGGAGTTTTGTTTTTGTTTTTGTTTTTCTTACATACAGGATCATGTAGTCGGAGATTAAAAAGAGTTCTACTTTTTCCTTTCCAACCTGGAAGCCTTTTATTGCAATTTCTTATCTGACTGTACTGTCTGATATCTCCAGTGCAAGGTTGAATAAAAGTAGTGAAAACAGACATTGTTACTTTGCTACCAAAATTATAGGCAAAGCATTCAGTCTTTTGAAGCTTTCATGTTTAAGGTGAGTGTTTTTTCATGCCGTTAATCAGGATGAGAAAGTTCAGTCTGTTCATAATTTGTTGAGATTTTATTATGATTGGGTACAGGTTATTTTGTCAAATTTATTTTATTGCATACACTGAGATAATATGATATGTTTTTTATTCTATTAATATGGTATATTACGTTAGTTGATTTTGGATGTCAAGCCAATCTTCCACTGGCAGGATAAATCCCACTTGGTCATAGTATATAATCGTTTTATATATTGCTAAATGAGGTTTGCTAATATTTTATGGAGACCATAGACATACTAGTTTGTAGTTTTCTTGTGATTTCTTTTATTAGTATCAAAGTAATTCTGACCTGTTAGGCTGAATTAGGAAATTGTGGACTGAACTGGGATGAATTTAGGAATAATCTTATTCTTTATTTTGTGAAAGTTTTTTTTTTTGTAGGAGTGGTATTATTATTTAAATATCTGATGGGATTTACCAGTAAAGTCAGCTAGTCCTGAGCTTTTCTCTATGACATGGAGTGATAAACTATTGCTCACATGTTAAAGTCAAGCCATGGCCTATATTTGTATGACTCATAAATAAACTAAGAATAAATTTTATACTTTTAAAGTGTTAGAAGACGGAAGAGGAGGAATAGGAGAAAAAGAACTGACAGAGGTTGCATATGGCCCAAAATATTTACTACCTAGCTCCTTACAGAAAAATTTTGCTGACCTCTTCTCTGTATGGTGTTATTTACTAAAATACTTCTTTACTTGTAATATGTCTATCCAGACATGTGGCTTTTTTTCTCAGTTACTCTTATGTCTTTCTAGGAATATGTCTGCTTCATCCAAGTTGTCAAATTCATTGACATAGTGTTGTTCATAACATTTCCATATGTTTCTATAGGGTTACTAATTGTATTCTTCATTTTCACTCCTGACTTTGCAATTTCTATTTTCTTGCTTTTTATCTTGTTCAGTCTGACTAAAGTGTTATCAATTTTATAGCGTTTCAAGTAACCAGGTTGTAGTTCCATTGATTTTCTCTATTGTTTTTCTATTCTCTATTGAATTGATTTTTAATTTGATCTTTATTATTTCTTCCTTATGTTTACTTTTGGTTGACTTTTATTTTTCCAGTGTCTTCAGGTAGAAGTTTAGATTATGATGGAAACTTTTGTGGTTGTTTTCCTAATGTAGTTATTTAAAGCTATACATTTCCCTTTAATTATGGCTGCGTTCCATGTACATCGATATATTTTTGGTTTTTTAGTTAAAAGCATAATTACTCTAGAAATTCCTTCTGAAGCCCACAAGTTATTTAGGAGTGTGATGTGTTTAATTTTCAAATATTTGTGATTTTTCCAGCTTCTTTCTGTTGTTTATTTCTAATTAAATCCCTCTGTGATGAGAGAATATACTTTGAATTATTTTAATCCTCTTATCTGTACGTTATTATATAATATATAATCTATATGGGGAAATACTCTATGAGCACTTGAAAAACCGTACATTCTGCTGTTGCTGAATACAGTGTTGTAAAATCATCAATTAAGTCAAATAGTTTTGTAGTGTTTTTCAGGTCACTTTTACCCTTATTTACTTTCTGTCTAGTTGGTGTGATCAATTTTTCAGACTGGAGGATTTAAGTCACCAACTATAATTTTGATATGTTTATTTTTGTTTCATTTCTGTCATTTTTACTTTATGTATTTTGGGACTCTGTTGTTAGGCTCCAGGACTTACTCCACAGTGCTGTACAGGCACATGGTTTCTACACTAAAAGTAACTAAACTTAGAGATTTGTGGGATACCATCAAGTATACCCACATGTGTAAAATTGGAGTCTCAGAAAGAGAGAAGGGAGAGAAAGATAAAGAAAAAATAATGGCCACAAACTTCTCAAAGTTGTGAAAAAGATTAATCAAAAGAACCTAGAAGCTTAACATCTCTCAAACACAGTAAACACAAAGATATCTATGTCTAGATACATTATAGTTAAACCTCAGAAAGCCAAAATCCACAAATAATATACTGAAATCAATATTTGTTCTCAACAAGAGAAAAATGACTCATCATGTGAAAGAGAAGAGTAATACAATTAACCTGACTTTAAATCACAAACAATGGAGATCAGAAGATAATGGAGAGGCACTGAAAGAAAAAAAAAATTCCACCCAAAATTCTCTATCCAGCAAAACTATCCTCTACAAATGAAAATGAAATAAAGACATGCCCAGATAAGCAAAAGCTACAGAATTTTGTGGTTAGCAGACCTGTCTTACAAGAAATATTAAAGGAAGTCATCAGGCTGAGAGAAAATGACATTGTTAGTAACTAAAATCCATAGTAAGAAATTAAGAGCACCTTAAAGGATAAACATATGTGTGAATAAATATAAAAAATACATACACACATATAAACACACATAGAAGGAATATATATTTTGTATATGTTTTTATAGCATTTAATATACATCAATCTGGGTGGGCACAATCTAATCAGCTGCCAGCATGGCTAGAATAAAAGTAGAAGAATGTGGAAGGACTAGACTGGCTAAATCTTCTGGCCTTCATCTTTCTCCCATGCTGGATGCTTCCTGCTCTCAAACATTGGATTCCAAGTTCTTCAGTTTTTGGACTCTTGGACTTAAACCAGTGATTTGCCAGGGGCTCTTGGACCTTCGGCCACAGACTGAAGGCTGCACTGTCAACTTCCCTACTTTTGATGTTTTGGGACTCAGACTGGCTTCCTGGCTCCTCAGCTTGCAGAAGACCTATTGTGGGACTTTACCTTGTGTTTGTGTGAGTAAATACTCTCTAATAAACTCCTCTTCATCTATCTTATTAGTTCTGTCCCTTTAGAGAACCCAGAATGTAAATTAGTACAGCCATTTTGACAAACAGTATGGAGGTTCCTCAGAAAATTAAAAATAGAACTACCATATAATCTAGCAATTCCAGTTCTAGATATAAATTCAAAGGATATGAAATCTGTATGTTGAAGAAATATATTCACTCTTATATTCCTTGAAGCATTATTCACACAGCCAAAATACAGAATTAACCTAGGTTTCCACCAATGGATGACTAGATGAAGAATATATGACTTATATTCTGTATATGTATATATATATTCTCTATATGTATATGTATATACATACACACACACACACACAAAAAAAATGGAATACTACTCAGCCATACAGAAAAAGGAAATCATATAATTTGCAACAACATGGAGACATTATGCTAAGTGAAATAATCCAGGCACAGAAAGACAAATAATGCATGGTCTCACTTATTCATGGAATCCAACAAAGTCAAACCCACAGAAGCAGAGAGTAGAAGGGTAATTGCCAAGCACTGGGATGTGGTTTGAGGAAGGGAGGCATGGGAAATAGGGAAATGTTGGTCAAAGGTACATGTTTTAATCAGAAATAAGTTCAAGAGATCTATTATGCAGCGTGATTACTATAGTTAATAATATATTTACTCTTGAAAATTGCTAAGAATGTAGATTTTAAATGTTCCTACCAAAAGAAGTCAAAACCAAATGGTAAGTATGTGAGGTAATGCATATGTTAATTAGCTTGATTTAATTATTCCACAATGTATACATATATCAAAATGTCACAATATCACATTGTATACCATAAATATATATAATTTGTATTTGTCAATTTTAAATAAGTAAATAAAGTAATGAGATAGCTTTCAACTAAGCTTATATAGTGGTATAATATAAAAATTTTTGTAGTAACAAAATTATAGTAATTTTGGCTTATACTGAAATGTGCATTAAACAAGTGTTTGCATAAAATTTCAATTCAAATTACTGTTCACAGCCCACAGAAAGCCACGAAAACGTGATTTACTCTTGGTATGGAAACAAATAGCTTGTACTCCTAAGGAAAAAAGAAAATTCCTGCCTTTTGATGAGAATTGTTTGAGTTTTATACTTACTTTATGGGGAGCTTTGCTGACCTCTTCATTCCACGATAGCTGGATATTCCTCCCCTGCATGTACTTTTGTTTCCTGGGGGCAGTGAGTCTTGGAAACATTTGTGAAATTCTTATTCTGAGTTTGCCTGGCCACAGCCCAGGTTCCTTCACGGACACTTCAGCATCAGGCTCTCTCCTCAGCTTTCTTTCTATCTTCTGTGCCCTCTGCTCATAAACCCCAGCTCATAGAAGCTGAAGTCACCTAGACTCCAAGACACCTGATTGTAGAGACAGGAAAGGAGTTCTCAGGATATGTGCCATAATTTCATACTGGTTTCTACAAGAATCAGGGTTGGAATTAGAGCTGATTCATTATTCAGTTAACATTGACATTGTTGATTAGAGACATATCCCTGTTGAAAATATTTCCCGGCAAAAAACAGAAGTTCCCTTTGGCTCTGAAATCTGCAAAGCCCTTTCAGATGTCCCTGTGTCCTTGTGCCGTCACTCCACAGCACTGCACAGGCATGTGCTCACCTCACAAAATGGCAGTCTCAAAGGGAGGAGTGTCCAACCACAAGAGGCGCCACCCTATGCTGAGAAAGAACCTTTCACAGGAGGAGAGAAAAGACCTTTCCAGAATCTTTAACATAAGATTTTTTGTGTGTGTGAAGTCTGACCTGAGCAGCAACCTTGCATCAGACTTCAAAAGGCAATATTTCCTGTACCTCCTTGTGCTGTACAAGTGAGTACAGAAGTCGAGAAAATGTTCCTAAGTCTATGGCCAGTTCAAATTCCATCATTTTCTATTTCTGAGATTAAATTATATGTATTAAGATCCTTACTCTGCCCTTTCATGTTTATTGCTCCTCGGACAAGATATCCCCTCTTCAGGTCCCAAACACATTCATTGCAATGCCTTTCCTCATCCTTGTCCCAGTCCTGGCTCTCTAGCTTCTTGAGACAATAACCCATCCTAAGGTATGTGGTGACATGCATCTTCTGCCTCACTGGGATCCCTAAGTGGTATAAGCATTCACTCAATTGCTTTAGCTAGAGTCCCCAGAATATCTTCACCCTCTGCTGTCACACTCTTCTTCCACATTGGTCCATAACCACATCTTTAACATTTCTGTTTATTAAAACCTCTCAAATTCAACCACTATTTTCTATCCCAACCAATACTGCCTTAGCTCAGGCAACCACTGTCTTTCACCTGAATTCCTTCAACACTTTCCAAATATCCACCTACCTGATGTCTTACTCTCTGTTCTAACTCAGTTCATTCTCTGCAGCTGAAAACACTTCCTTTCCATTGACTTTAGGGTTATGACCAGTCTTCTTTATATCTAAATGTTAGCCTGTAAGTTCTTTTTGTAAAATAAATAAATAAATAAAAATCTTCCAAACTACAAATTCTTAAAACCCTCCATGATTTGGCCCTTGCATACCTATCCAGTCTTGTGAAATTCACCTACTCTTTACCCACTTTTTGCATACTTATGCTCTAATAATATTCATAATCCCTTAGCTCCATATGTACTTTCTTACTCACTCCTGAGCCTTTACATATGCTGTTCACAGTACTTAGAATAATCTTTCTCTCCCTATTTATCTGTACTACTAATCCTTCCCGTTTAGGCCTGAGTCTTTAACTGTGGTAAATACCCCATGGTATCCAGAGCTTCTACAATCATAGAGTATCACACACTTCATTGCTTAACTTATTATGATAGTTTTAAAAATTATTAATACAAAATATGCTCAATGAGGCCAAGACCATGTCCAAGGTTTAATTTTTGTATCTTCAACAGTATTACAGGCTCTGAATAAAGTAGGCGCTCTATAAATATTTATTGAACAAACCAGGGTTTTATCAGTTCTTGCCTCTCTAGCTAAGATATGATCTCAGCTATCTAAACATTTCTCTCTCAAAAGTATTGCTGCAATTATTTAGAGATTTTCACATTGTGGTAGACTGAAGAATAATCTCCCAAAATGATCAGATCTGAATCCTTGAAAATTATGAATATGTTCGCTTACATTGCTGAAAGGATTTTGCAGATGTGATTAAGTTAAGGATCTTGAAATGGGGAGGTTTTCCTTGGTTAGCTGAGTGGGCCCAATATCGTCACACACTTTCCTAAAATATCTTACCAAAACCACACCACCTCTGTGAAGCCCTCTCTCTTTTCCCAGACAGATATGGAGGTTTCTTTCTTTACGTGTTTATAACAAATTAAAGAAACTTCAACTTCTATCACTATGTTATGATATTTATGGTCATGTCTGACTCTTCCTAGACTAGAATGGTTTTTGAGGGATTGGACTATATGTTCATTTACCTTTGTAAATCCAGTATGTAGGACTTGGTACAATATATTGGATACAGAATTATAAGCCCGATAGGAGCAGAAAACTTTGTTGCTCATCCTTGTATCCCAGAATCTAGTACTATGTCCGATGAGTGTAGTAAGAGTGAGGCAAGAGGATGCAAGTCAGAAAAAGGCTATGTGACAACAGAAGTAGAGATCAGAATGACAGACACTTTGAAGATGGAGGAAGGGCCCTGAGCCCAGTAGTGCAGATGGCACCTAGAAGCTGGAAAAGGCAAAGAAATGGATTCTCCCATAAAGCCTACAAAAGGAACACCACCTGCCAACACCTTGATTTTTAGCCCCAAAGACTTATTTCAGACTTTTATCCTGAACAGGACAGAAGCAAAAAAATGGAATTGATCAACATAAAAGCAGAAGTTAATAAGGTAGAAAATTTTGTAATGATAGAACTAAGAAATAAGCAAATGAGATCATTGTTTGCCAGCCAAAAGACAGAGAGGACAAATATACTAAAACAGAAGTGACAAGGGGAAGTATGATAAAGTCTATTTTTAAAAACAATATTTTGTATAATTCTCTGCAAACAACCTAAAAGCCTAAATGAAATGGCTCACATTATAAATTTAACAAAACTGACCCTAATGTGGATAAAAAGCCTAAACAAAACAATGACTACAAAAGAAATAAATAAATTTGTAATAGAATTTCCTCACAGAAAAGCGCCAGTCCCATATAGTTTCTTACAGGGATTTTTCCACACCTTTTAAAATCAGGGACTTTGAGAATACCTAAAACATTGCAAAGTATAGAAAAGTAGGGGAAATTTCTAAATTATTTTCATGACATGACCTTAATATTTATAACAAAACTCAACAAAACTGCACCTTAAAAAAAAATCTATAGACCGGCCAGGCGTGGTGGCTCCCATCTGTAATCCCAACACTTTGGGAGGCCAAGGGGGGGCGGATCATGAGGTCATGAGATCAAGACCATCCTGGCTAACACAGTGAAACCCCATCTCTACTAAAAATACAAAAAATTAGCCAGGCGTGGCAGCACGTGCCTGTAGTCCCAGCTACTCGGGAGGCTGAGGCAGGAGAATCGCTTGAACCCGGGAGGCAGAGGTTTCAGTGAGCCAAGATCGTGCCACTGCACTCAAGCCTGGGCAACAGAGCAAGACTCCAACTCAAAAAAAAAAAAAATCTATAGACTTACATCACTGATTAGTATTGATAAAAAAAAGTATTCGATAATAGTGAATCAAATAATGACATTAGAAAATAACCTACAAATTGGCGTTTGCTCCAGGATGGTAAGGGTAGTTCAACATTAGTAAACTTACTCATCAAATCCATTATATTAGTCAATGGGGTTGGCCTGAGCACTGGGAAAGGGGTGGGTAGAAAATACTGTCTCAGAAAGGCATTGAGAGAGAACACATACTAATCCTATCTGGAAATTTACGCTCCTCTTCAGCCATTCCCGTCTCTTAAGGATACTCTCCAGCTTTACTGAACTCTTTGCAAACTCCAAAAATATCATATTCTCTTAGATGTTGCATAGGCTGGTCCCCCAGCCTAGTCTACCAGGAAATTATTCATTTTCCTACAAATCTTACTTAAACCCACACTACCTCTGTGAAGTCCTTTCTTCCCAGGGAGATATGGAGGTTTATTTTCCTATGTGTTTACAACAATTTAAAGTCTGTTACTGTATTATGGCTTTTTGGTCGTGTCTGACTCCTTCTAGGCAAGTATGGTCTTTGAAAGATGGGACCGTAAATCTTTTTACCTTTGTAACTGCAGTAGTAGGACTAGGAATGATATATAGAATACAGAATTATAAGTCCCCATGGGAGAACAGACCTTCTTTTTGTTGTTCATGCTTGTATCCCAGAGTCTAGTACTATGGTGCACATAGATGTATATTTACTCAATAATATGAAAGACCCAAATATGCCTTTATGGAATTGACCCTGCAGTTACACCTCACCATCTCCTACTTACCCCAGAATTATTTATTAACTATCTCATGTCTTAGGTCTCAACCCCCTTCCCTAGTTAAGAGGGGGCCCTGTTGCTAAGCAGGTTAAAATAGGAGGCTGATGAAGAAAATCTCTGTGGAAAATACTGAAGAGGAACACAGGAATAAAAATACCTCTACTCTGATGATGCCTTATATAAAGGCAGATGCAGTTGGCTTAAACTTCTACATTGGCTCATTTCTATGAATGCCACACCTCTCAACTTCAGGGACTTCCAGTGAGGTGCTTCACAACAATCTCTGGAGTCAGTGCAGAGCTACTCCCTTGGCGAATCTCTTCACTGACACTCAATGGGCCATCAGGGTGGGACTTCGCCTCTGCTAAGCCACAGGAATACACTAAATCCTGCTCCTGAGAGGAAGGGAAAGACAAAGGATCATAGGAAGTAAACCCCTTGAGGAAATTTCAATTTGGAATTTATTCTATTTATAACAAGGCTCGAGTAGCATATTTATTTTCCCCATCTCAGACCCTAACCTCAAGTGAACTTACTCCCAGATTCACACACATAAACATATGCACCAGCACCATCTCAGCAAGGAGGCAGCTGCAACAAAAAGCAGCAGGTGGGAGAATATTATGTTACATATTAAACTACAGGATTACTCCAAGAATTACATTCCCTAAAATTATTCCCTCCATTGGAAGCAGACTGTAGCCAATAGGAAGAGAAATTGCTAAAACAAAAATGCGTTCGGTTGGATGAAATATTTACCTAAAACGGAAATATATTTAAGAAGACATAATTCTTCAGAATTGTAAGGTAAAAATAAAATCCTATACCCACCAACTGACTGAAAGGACCATTTCTGGGACAAGGGCACCCCAGAGTAACCTTGAACATTGAGTTCTTGGCTAGGACAGGATGGAGGGGTCAGACACACCTTATTATACCTCTCCCTTGGAGCTGTGATGACGTTTTCTTCCCTAAAGGCTAAACACAAACCAGCCCTTTCAAAAGACTCCATCCCTAAAAGCAACAGAAAGTCTGATGCTGCCCCTCCTTTTTGCCTGGTAAGAGGCCACCAACCAAACGGTGTTTCTGGCCAGTCTAGGGAGGACATGTAGTGAGGCTTTTGGTGTCCTTTGCTTCACCTTTTGATGTCAGAGAGCTGAAAACTCCACCCCCAGATCATGCTAACATGGCCATTTTTTTTTACAGGGGTCCCATGAAGGAGCAGGAAACTCAATTGTGGAAGCACACGTTTTTCCCTTTATTAATGTTCATGACTCCTCCTATACCTTATTGTATATCTATATTTGGCCATTCCACTCAGCATGTATTTCTTTTCCCTTTGCCCCTCCCTAGACATGTCTGTTTCTGGCTTCTTGCCAGAGCTGTGCTTCCCAGCCTGTCAGAATGGCCACACTGCAGGCTGCAACCCTTTATGAGAAATAAAGCTCTCCCTTCCAAATTTGAACTTCCTCATTCTTCAGTTGACAATATCATCATTCTTCTAAGAAGATATCAGTGAAATTTCAAGGATGATTCAGCACGATAATGAAATGTTTGTAATCATTCAAGATATACTAAATGCTGAAGGAAGTCAGTTTAGAAATAAGAAGTAGGACAACCAAAGGATAGAACTTAGAAGAGGACAAATAAAGGATTTTACAGAAGCCACTCATGAAAAGAGATCCACCAATTCTGAGATAAAAGAACTGGGTTTGAGTAAGCCACTTGTTGTAAGAGTGCTCATCAAGGTTTTCAGAAAAAAATAAACAGAGCTAGTCAATGACACCTGGTAATAAAAGATATTTTGAATTTCAGGCCATAGAGGGTAGCATGCTAAGTGCATTTTCAGTTTTGGGAATTAGAGTAAAATGAAAATAATTTCTGAAGAAGCCTCCAGCCAAACTCTAAAAAGAAAAAGTTAAAAATGCAAGGTATAGAATATTTGAAAAATTTATTATTAATAGTTGAAAGTACATATTTTAGAACTGGACTGATCCAGTCACCATCTAGTTTTGCCATGTTACTTAACCTCTCTAAAGGTAGTTTCCTAGCCTATAAAATGGAAATAGTCACACATGGCTGTGAGTTTTATTTAATTGAGAAAATGTATGTAAACTGCCTGACACAATCCCTAGCACAAGAATAAGACTCAATCATAACTAATGGTGGTAGCAGTAAGAGTGCTACTACTAGCTGACCATTCTGGAAGTTGAGCCTGAGTGAGTGATTACTATACACTGTGCAGTTGTAACTTCTTAACACATTAATTCATTTAATCTTCACAGCAAATCCATGAGGTTCATACTTTTATTAGTACAATTTACAGAGAGTAAAACTGAAGCATTCACAGTTAACTTACTTGCCTAAAATGAGCTTAAGTAGCAGAACCCATATTTAAGCCCAGGCACTATCTCTCCAGAGCCTTCTTTGTTAGCCACTAACCTTGTGGTAGTGCTATCAAGTAAATGGGCTTGCTGTCTGATATGCTCAGAAGCCAATAACCATGGCACCAGCTTTTGAGGAAAGAAAGGTTTTACTGCAAAACTGGTCAGCAAGGAGACATGAGCTGGCTCAAATCTGTCTTCCTGATTTGGGGTCTTGGACAAGTTTTAAGGGACTGAGAGAAAGGATTTAGTAATACTGGGTTGATAGAGTCTGACTGGAGGGCTTCAGATTTAACCATTTATGGTAAAGTAGGTTGAGGTAGATTTGAGCCCAGATCTTCCCAGCCAATGAACCCACTGCTTCTCAAAGAGTTTTGGCATTCAGATTGCAGGCATCTTCCTGTCTTCTTGGTTCCGAAGGGAGGAATCATTCATTCCAGGTGTTGTTCGAGATCAAAGCTTTTGGCTCTGTTGTACCTACAAGCAAACTCAACATTTTGTTATCCACATAATAGACCCAGTTTGGGCTGATCCTACAGTTACAAATTCTTCCCTTTTTGTTTAGTTTAGTTTAGTTCTCAATCTTGAAGGAATTGAGTGTCTACCACTCTAGCTACTTTTTGTTGACAAGGGACATAGGTCTGGGTTTGAGGAATGAAATTGTTTCATAATTAATTGCAAATGTTCATGGGTCCTGGGTTGAAGTCAAACAGGTGGGTCAGGGAATTATTTTGATATTTAATAATTATTTCATGAGCAGGGGGAATTGATTTAAAAAGACAAGATAGACAACAGGTAGAGAACTTGAGAGAAGGAAGAGAAATCTCAACACATACAGAAATATAATTTTTAGTTTAAGTAGACCCTCAAAAATAGATCTTATTCCTGATGAAAACATGTTTACATATTATATCCAGGTTTGTTAGAGAACACTAGATGGAGTCAAGTGGCTTTTGGTCTATTATTATTTGGGTCTGTCTCAACATTTTTAGAAGTATTAATGTAAATACAGCATGATGTATTAAAGCATAAACACCTCTTTGTTTAGCTAGTATATAATCTAGGGTAATTTTATTATCTAGTATTACTTTAGCCAAAGCACCTGGCTCTCTCTGTTGAGCCACCATGGCCATTGTGGTCTCCTTGGCAAGCTTTTTCAGGGCAATGGAAAGGTTTTTAATCATATGTTTATGAGAAGCAACTACCCACCATGGCAACAGAGTTTGTCTAAAGAAATATCCTATACCATCTGGTGGGCCACCTGGTAAATATTTACCTGGGAGGAGGTTTAGCATAGATCTTTTGGCCATTATGAACAGTTTTATGGTGTTAGTCTAATGCCTAGCATCACTAATGTCATAGACAGAGAAAGGAGTGACTAAGTACCCTAGTAAACAGATGTCTTTTGGGCATCAGCTGTCAAGGCATTCATAGTCCCAGGGCTGGTCGTTTGTTTCATAGACAAAGACATATCCTGAGGAGGCGCATAGAATACCAGATATATTAACATTTAAGTTCTCAGTTTGAGGAATTTTACTTAGGACTTGGTGAAAGTAGGAGCCAGAGTATAGAAGAGTCTAGAAGAAGTTTTCTAACTTACAAATTGGTAGGGAAGAGGGCAGTCCCTGAAGGTATACTAGGTTCTTTTTATTTAAATCTTGACATAATCATGTAGATCTACAGTTTGAGGACACATCAGTGTATCTCTCCTGGACCAGAGGATAGAAAACAGGAAGTGGATAGTAGGTGTGTCAAGTAAACAGATGACTTCTGTTTCTGAGTTAGCCAATGTCTGGCTTCTGTGGGCATAGGCCCCTTTATCCTAACATAAGTGTCTTTGAAGGGGATGTTAATGAAAAACAGGGAACTAATGATCCTCCACCAGCAAATCTGACTTATACTGTGGGTTTTTGATCATAAGTCACCAGAAAATTAGGCACTTTAGAGAAGCTGGTCACAGAGATAAGCAGCAGATCAGTGTGATCAAGTGCAGAGGAGGGTTTTTGATGACATCTCTAACATTTAGATAGATTTTGTGAGGTAGGTAGGGATTGGGACATTTTTATCAAGAAATTATCTTTTTTGCCATGTGTGGTGGCTCATGCCTGTAATCCCAGCACTTTGGGAGGCTGAGGTGGGTGGATCACTTGTGGTCAGGAGTTTGAGACCAGCCTGGCCAACATGGTAAAACCCCATCTCTACTAAAAATACAAAATTTAGCCAGATGTGTTCACTTGAACTCAGGAGGCAGAGGTTGCAGTGAGCCGAGATCGTGCCACTGCACTCTAGCCTGCACGACAGAGGGAAACTCTGTCTGAAAAAGAAAAAAGAAAGAAAGAAAGAAAGAAATTATCCTTTTATGTTGAGGTTAAGGCAAGCAAAAGGATATAAAAGGATATAATAGAGGAAAACTGTGGGCATTTTAAACAGAGGAAATCATTTTGTTTCACTGAGAGGAGATATTTGGCTGATAGAAAGAAAAGGATCAGAAAAAAATAAACTCTACCCAAGGAAGGGCTATAAGGTCCTAAATATATTTTTGAGGTTAAATCAAGGAGGTAGAGGTGATTAATTCAATAGCGCAGAATAATATATATGACAACAAGGTAAAAATTAAGTTGCATTAATACAGGCCTCACCCAATATCTTGGGCAAGCTGTCTCCTTTAGTTGTCTCCTGTTTCTGCCCTCGTAGTTCTATCAGATGGAGGCTGGTTTTAGACACAGAAATGATTTTCACTTATCTGGAGAGTCAGGAGCCCTTTTGGTCTTATTGAGTTTTTTAAAAAGTAACTTAAGATCATTTAGGGGTTTCCAAGTGTGTTCCTGGGTGGAAAAACTGGTTGTGGGCCTCCACAGCCATCTAGTATATGGTCAGTCTGGTCCTTTGGTTTTTCTTACCTGTGAAGGGCATGACCTGTTTGGGAATTTTACAGGGACCAAGAGGAATCTTTTGAAAATGGGAATAACTCTTACCCATGAATGATGAATTTAGGGCCTCAACCCTTTTAACTTTATTGCTGAATGGATCACTAAAGGAACTTCATAGGGCCTAATCTATTTGAACTGTAGTTGGTCTTCAGGGTGGTGATTTTTCTAGGTCGTAAGTTGTACTCAGTTTCCTAGACTTAGACAATGTAAAGGGAACATCTATAGGAAACATTAAAACAGCTAGAAGTGTAATTATGTATAGCAGACAAAGTTATACCCAGAGACTGTACACATTTTATAGCATCTAATGCATTTACCCATCATGATGATTTTCAATGTTAAAATAATATTTAGTCATAAGAAGGGTTGTCCCACATAGAATTCTGTAGGGGCTAAACTGGTGCTTGCTTTTAGGGGCCATTCTTACTCTAAGCAGGGCAAGTGGCAAGACCTTATCCTATGTTAAATTGGGTTTTTGACACATTTTGGCAAGTACATTTTATAAGATATTGTTTATCTTTTCAGTCTTTCTAGTAGACTGGAGCCTCTAAGAGATGCTTAATTTCCACTGTATCCTAAGAGCTCCATAAACTTCTTAGGTAAGTCTGGTATTTGTTGTCACTTTGAATTGAAATAGACAATCCGAAGTAAGGAATTATGTCTTTTAATAAAGCTTGAGTTACCTCAGATGCATTTTTTGTTTGACATGGAAAGAACTTGACCCGTCTAGTGAAGGTGTCTACAAGTACCGACAGGTATCTATAGTTTCCTCCAGCTCCTGGCATAACTGCAAAGTCTATTTGACAATCTTGTCTTGTTTCTCTTCCTCAGGTTTAGACCCCTTTGCCTGCTGGAGGTGGTCCTGTCTTTGGATTCTCTGTAGCACAAATAAGACAATTTTGGATAGTCTTTTGTACGTGCAGCCTGACAATAAACTTCAGTAACTAATGATAGGTTGTGTTTCTTCTATAATGAGTTCTTTGATATAACTGGGAAATAATCCTTTATCAAATGCTCAGGGACAAGAACTATTCCTTGTTCACTGTAAATCTAGACTTCTTTAGTTATTTTATAGTGTTCCCTCTCCAAGTCTTGAGTATGAGTATGAAATCCCTACTGGTTTGCTCTTTCTAGATTTACCTTTGAGTACTGGGTTTAAATAAGGACAGATTCATACTTGGAATAAGTACCAGAGCCTTTGTTTTAGGCTGTTTTATCCTAACTGTATGTTTTTCTACCTGATCAGCTAGATTATTGCATTTAGTTATCTAGCTATCAGTCTTTTGGTGTCCTGGGCACTGCATTATGGCCATTTTTTGACAGGAAAATTGAGTCTAATAAGTCTAATATCTCTCTTGTATGTTTAATTTTATTCTTTAAGAGATTAGTGAATCTCTGTCTTTTATATGGCTCCATTTACATGCACTACCAAAAAGACATATTTGGATTCTATATAAATGGTTACCTTTTTATTTGTCCTGAGGTGTGAAGCTCGTGTGAGGGCAATAAGTTCTGCCTTTTGGGCAGAGATACCTGGTGGGAAAGCCTCAGGTTTTAAGATTTTCTGGTAAGTCACTAGGTGTTTATCTGGCTTTTCAGAGACCCTGATCCATGAAGCTGTTCACATTGGTAAACATTCCCAGGTCTGGGTATTTCAAAAACTGATTTGTCAAGTCAAGCCTGTTTTTTTAGAGCCTCTTTTAGGATTTCAGGTGGTATCTTTCTTCTCATTGTAATAAGGCAACTTGGAGGGTGCAGGCTTGTTTAGGAGACACTCTAATATTGATTCATTCTGGTGAAAAATTACTTGTGCATTTAATTTTGTTAGCAAGTCTTATCCCAACAAAGGTATTGGACATTCAGGCATATATAGGAAGCTATGTTTAAATAGGTTTTTCCTCTGTGGCATTTGAGTGGTTGAAGGAAAGGCTTGCAAGGATGTTTCCCCAGATACACCAGTAATAGCAGTGGTCTTTGGGAAGATGGGGACTTGTCTTATGTTTGGGATAGAGTGTGTAGCTCCATGGTCAACTAGAAAATCTATACATCACTTTTCCACACCAACTGTCATCTGCACTTCTTTGTGGGAAATGTTGACAGAGCTAATAGAGTGTATAGAAGTCCCTGGGTCTCATCATTACTGGTTGCTATCAGTAAGCTGTGGCATGTGGTGTGTTGATCTGTGGGAAGTTTTATCTTAAAAGACTATAGACAAGTATGTTATTAAAGTTTCCCATTTTGTATAGAGTTTTATCTGAAATAACTGGAACAAGCTCCTGTACAAACGAGGTGTTCTCGGTCTGTGGTGTGGTGATTATGGGGATTCCTCTTCAGAGAATCACCAATGGGCTAGATATTCCCTCTTACATGTCTCAGAGGGTCCTAAACACCAGATGGTATTGGGCCGCTCGAGATGTTGGGGTTACCAAGATCCCTTATGTGCTCCTCCTGGATGAGCTGTTGAAGTTCTTTCTGACCCAGGAATGGGGGATTGGTTTATCACTTTACATCGTAAGCCAATGGCCTCAACACCTCTGCCAGGCTCTTAGTCACCTAGGAACACCCTAAAGGGCAGGAGGAAGCAATGTATTTCATCTTTGGAATCCAAGGACTTTCATTTAAATAAACTTCTAATGAGGTTCTTGTCACAACCATCAAAAATTTTAACCTCTGTTAGGATGAATAATTATGCAAACCAAAAACTCAGAAACACAAAGGAAAACCAAAACCAAGCCAAATTGAGTACTCTAACAGTTACAGCACCTTACTATTGCACTTATTCTTTCAGACCCTAACCCAAAGCCAGGACTGAAATAATCTAACCAGGACCTCCCTAGGGTAGGATTCAAACCCATGAAGCTACACAAAAATAGGACTCTAATCTACACTCCTAGACCAAAGATAATTTAAGGTGTAAGCACATATTACCAAGGTACTGACTCCAAAAGACATCTTATCCAGAAGCAATTTCTTTCCTCAAAAGAGAAAGTAGCACTCAAAGGGCCTGAAATGTCATGACAGAGAATAAGGACCTCACAGCTAAGCCTCTGGATAAACTGGTCTAGGTAGCACCACTCAGGGTCAGTGAAGAAACTTTAGTTCCCACTGAGGGGCTACAGTGCCTTGGCAGGCATTGGCCTCACATTGGGCACCTATATTTGTTATCAAGCAAATGGGTTTGCACACAGAAGCCAATAACTATGGCACCAGCTTTTGAGAAAAGAAAAGGCTTTGTTGAAAAACCAGTCAGCAAAAAGAAAGGAGTGAGCTCAAATCTGTTTCCCTGATTTGGGGTCTAGGGCAGGTTTTAAGGGATCAGAGAGCAAGGGAAAGGATTTAGGAATGTTGATTTGGTAGGGTCTGATTGGAGGGCTTCAAATATGACTATCTATGGTAAGATATGTTGAGGCACATTTTAGCCCAGGAGCTTCTGGGCCAATGGACCCCTCACTACTGAAAGAGGTCCGGCTTTCAGGTTCCAGTCATGTCTTGGTCTTCTTGTTTCTAAGGGGAGGAATCTTTGGTTCTGGGTATTGTTAGAAGTCAAAGCTTTTACTGTTGCACATGCCTTGGCTACATGATTTGCAGTTATGTAGCTGTTGGCAGTGTGAGAGACAAGCGTTGTTTCTCTGGCCAGGAAGTGAATGAAAAGTGCTGGTATCAGAGACTAAATTAATCACAGCACCAAGCAACATCCTGCTTTTGGTGCTGCCATGAGCAACAGGCTTCTCTGCTGTGTGATCATTTGTCTCCTAAGAGCAGGTGAGTCCTGGGCACAGGTGAGGAATCCCTATTACTGAATTCACAGGATCTAACTATAAAATGTTTCTTCATAAAAGTCACATTAGTCTCCTCTTTCCCAGGCTCTGTCTTTATTTGATCACCCATTTTTCCCAACAGGCCTCAAGGATGCTGTAGTTACACAATTCCCAAGACACAGAATCATTGGGACAGGAAAGGAATTCATTCTACTGTGTCCCCAGAATATGAATCATGTTGCAATGTACTGGTATCGACAGAACCCAGGACTTGGACTGAAGCTAGTCTATTATTCACCTGGCACTGGGAGCATTGAAAAAGGAGATGTCTCTGAGAGGTATCATGTTTCTTGAAATACTATAGCATCTTTTCTCCTGACCCTGAAGTCTGCTAGCACCAACCAGACATGTGTGTATCTCTGCGCCAGCAGTTCATCCACAGCACTGCATAGCTGCCACATCCTCTCCACATAAAAAAAGGTGCATACCAAAGAGGAAAAGCCTGCCCTCAAAATTCCTCACCGCAAATAAGAGAAGTTACCTCACAGGTATTGACAAAAAGAGCCAAACTCTGTAAAATATTTGAAGAGATTTATTCTGAGCCAAACATGAGTGAGCATGGCCAGAGGCAGAGGCTCAAGGGCCTAAGAACGTGTGTCCAAGGTGGTCAGCCTACAGCTTGGTTTTATACCTTTTTGGAGACATCAGACATCAATCAATACATGTAAGCTGTACATTGTTTCAATTTGGAAAGGTGGGACAACTCAAAGAGGGGGCTTCCGGGTCATAGGTGGATTCAAAGATTTTTCAGACTGGCAGTTGGTTGAAAGAGTTAAGTTATCGTCTAAAGATTTGAAATCAATATAAAGAAGTATCTGGGTTGTGGGGACCAAGGTTCTTATTATGCAGATGAAGCCTCCAGGGAGCAGGCTTCAGAGAGAATAGATTGTATTTCTTAATCAAACTTTTAAAAGGTGCCAGACTCATAATTCTCTTCTGGATCAGGGGAAAAACCTGAAAAGGAAAGAGAATTATCTACAGAATGTAGATTTCCCTCATGATAGACAGCTTTGTAGGGCCGTTTAAAAATATGTCGGAAAATACATTTTGGGGTAAAATATTGATTTTTTTCAGGGCCTGCTAGGAGTCATGTTGGTGTCTTATTGCTACAAAGGGTCTGTTTTGTCACTCATAAGGTTTCCATTGTAATGTTAATGCTGGTTGGTTGTGCCTGAATTCTAAAGTGAAGAGGGTATAATGAGGCATGTCTGACCCCACTTCCCACTAAGAACTGAACTGGTTTTTCATGTTAACTTTGGAATGCTCTTGGCCAAGAGAAGGGGTCCACACAGTTGGTTGTGGGGCTTAGGATTTTATTTTTGGTTCACACAAAAGTATACCAATGTCCTCCCCTAGGTTTGATATGCCCTGCTTCCCTCTTTCCATTTTTGTCCTTCTAGGACACCTTTTTGGTTGTTATTAAACCCTTCATTTCTTGTCAATATCCCACTAGACTATAGGGCATCAACACAATATGAACACTTGTCTTGGTTTATTTGTGCTACTATAGCAAAATAACTGAGATTGGATAATTTATAAACATGAACTTGTCACAGTTCTGTAGGCTCAGAAGCCCAGAACAAAGCACCTCAGGTTCAATTTCTGGTGAGGGCCTTGGTCTCTGCTTCCAAGATGGCACCTTGAGTGCTATGTCATCACATGAGAAAAGTGCCTAAGCTGGTTCCCTACCCTTTTATGAGTCACTAATCCATTCATGAGAGCAGAACCCTCATGACCTAATCACTTCCCACCTCTTAATACTGCCACAATGGGGATTACATTTCAAAATGAATTTTAGAAGAAACACATTCAAACCACAGCACATTTCTAGACAAACTTTCAGACACAGATGTAGAGAAATTTTAATGAAATTGAATTTTAACCAAGTGAAGACAACCCACAGATTTGCAAATACCCTTCTAAGATTCTTCAAAGATATCTCAATGGTTAATCACGTTGTTTAGGAAAATGAGAACAGTGACAGCAAGACCTTCTCAGTGGTACAATGGCCTCAGCAGCAGTAAAAGAGGGTAGTAAACATTATGCAGACTTTGTGTGGGCTCTGGATCACCCACAGAGAAGAAAGTTATTTTGTATGTATGTGTGTAACTGTATGTTTAAGAGAAATGAACTGTTTATTTACAGGGATTATTGAGGAGCAGAACCTCACTTGGGTAGATGCAGGTGTAACTTTTAAGATCAATATCCATGGCTTTGAATAGATAGGCTAGAGATACAGCAGATTTACTTAGTTCCCCAAAGATGCATGTTGGGTGATACCCACCTATATTAGTTTTCCAATTACTGCAAATTCAGTAGGTTAAAGTAACAATTGTCTTATCTCACAGTTCTGTATGTCTGAAGTCCAGGAAAGTATGGCTGGATTTTTCTCAGGGTCTTATAAGGTGGAAATCAAGGGGTCAGCTGTCTGCATTTTCATCAGGAGATTGGCTACTCCTCCTAGATTATTCCTAGTACTGGTAGAATTTGGTTCCTTGTGACAGCAGGTCTAGGGTCTCCATTTTTTATTGGCTGTCAGCTCCTTGCAGTTTCTTTCTGGTCCCCTTGATCTTCAAATGCACATCAAATCTGTCTCATGTTTAAAATCCTGTGATACCCACTTCTGCTTCAAGACAGAAAACTCTGCATTTAAAGGGCTCTGGTGATTAGGTTAGGCCAACCTGAATAGTATTTATTTTGTCAAATAATGTAACATAATCGCTGGAGTGACATATCATATTTTTAGGTTCCACTCATGCTGAAAGTGAAGGACATTATACATGGGCATGAGTCACTGGAGGTCATTCTTGGAATTCTGCCTACCATACCAATGGAGATCAAATGCCAGGAAAGTCAGGAATAGAAATTCAGAGAGCATACAATCAAATATATTAAATTAGAATTCAAAACTATTCAAGAGATGGTTCAGAGTTTTGGCCAAGCAGTGGATCAAATTTTCTTACTACTGCTTAATCAAGGATACAGTACAGAAGTAAAATGAATTGATCTTTATTAAAATGGAGCAAAGACCAGGTCTAGGAAGGAAAGGCAAGAAGGTGGAATAGATTTGCTCTTACTGGAAGAACACTGGAGATTCAAGACAAGAAACAGAATTGTTTTAGTCCCTGAGTTAACAAATAAAAGAAAGATGAGACCAGAACAGTTGTCAATGAAGGAGCAGTGAAGTAGAAAGGAAGGATGGAGTGAATGTGGAGAGCACTTTTCTGAAGAGAATAAACTTAGTTGTCAGATGAAAGGAGATTTATAATTAGCTTTGTCCTTACAAATTTTGAGGTAACTTACCATGGAAATACTTTTTCTTATCAGTTGATTAATCTGGGGGGAGGTAGCATAATCCTTTGAAATTCCAGTGCGTAGAAAACTAGGCTCGACCTCAAGATGAAGCCTCAAAAAAGAAATGTCTGTTAGAATCCAGTTAACAGGAGAACACCTACTGCGACTTTATTATCAGCAAGTTGGTGAAAACTTCCTGAAGAAGAAATGTGGGATGATACAGAAACTGATTAAAGTCTCAGAACAGCAAATAGTTTCTCCTCTTGTGAATTAATTCACCTTCCACAATTAAACAGAGATAACTCAGGGTACCTCAAATACTGATGAGCTTGACAGAAATGAATTGCCACCTAATTCCATTGATGGAGAAAGATAAGACAATGAGCAAAGAAAAGGGACTTTCAGAGAGAAGAATTGTTGAGAAGGTAGCAGTCCTTTCTCTTTCCATGAGGTAGTTGCTATTCATTACTCTGTGATGGGGACTGGGAACACAAGAATCACCACTTAGGGATTAATGAATTCAAGATCTGTACCTTCCATTTTGATCCAAATTTGAACTTAAATTTATTCAGGACACCAACTGAATACTTCTACCTAAAGGTAAAACTCATATCATATTTCCCTCCCAAGCTGCATTTCCTCTGAGTTCCTGACTTGACGGAGTCATTTATTTGTACAATATATGAACGCTGAGAGTTGTGCCACATTTCTCTCTCTTTTGCCCTGGACATCCAATTTTTATGCAACACTTTCATTTCTAACTCCTAAATATCTTAGTTTACTATCTCAATCACTGCAACCACTGACATGTTTATGCCCTTTTTACTAGCTTGCCAAATAAATATAAAAGAGCTCATTAATCTCTCTAGTTCCTTATTAATCCTCATTTCATCTAATCTAGTATTAGTATTATACCCAAGTATAATCTTCCAAATTGCAAAAATCTGTTTCTATCACTCTTTCTGCAGCATCCTTCACTGGCTCCCCCATGGTCTACAATATATACAATCTAAGTTTTAAAAAGAAAAAAACTTATGACTATCCCTTATTTTGAAAAAAGGAAAATTAGTCCTTTACTAGAAAAATAGCACTGTATTATAATGTCAAGTTCACACTAGAGTCTACGATGGTGTCAAAGAGCTCTATATTTTTCTTCTTGAGTCACTTTGATATCCTCCCACAGTAAGACCATTACAGTTGGTGTATTGGTCTGTTCTCACACTGCTATGAAGAAATACCTGAGGCTGTGTAATTTATAAAGCAAAGAGGGTTAATTGGTTCACAGTTCCACATTGCTGGGGAGGCCTCAGAAAACTTACAATCATGGTGGAAGGCAAAAGAGAGGCAGGCACCTTCTTCACAGGGTGGCAGGATGGAGTGAGTGCCAGCAGGGGAAATGCCAGATGCTTGTAAAACCATCAGATCTCGTGAGACTCACTCATTATCATGAGAACAGCATGGGGGAAACTGCTCCCATGATTTAATTACCTACACCTGGTGCCACCCTTGACACGTGTGGATTATAGAGATTATAATTCAAGGTAAGATTTAGATGGGGACACAGAGCCAAACCATATCAGTTGGGTACTGAGAAGGACATACTGTATTAATCATGCCTTCTTATTGTCTGTATTTTCTAATGTTTTGACATCCATATTTTCTGATGTTTTGACATCTGGGGACTTGCTGATCTTGGAGGGACTGACCCTCTCAGGGTTAACTCATTCCTAGGGGTAGCAAACTGCTTTCCCTAGAGCATGCCTTTCATATCAAATCAACCAATCCAAACCTCTACTCCAACCCACCTTCTTTATTGGGCTCTCATACTCTGAGCCCCTATTCTCCTACCCTAATTACCACAGGGCCAGGTACTAAACAACTTGAGATAATCCCTACACTTTGTAGCCTGCTCAAAAATTTAAACCAGCCAATGCTAAACCTATTTAGCCTGTGTACCCTGCCTCACTCATTTGTTCAGTGAAAACCACAATAAAGTTTCTTGCCAATGTTTCCTGTCACTCCTTCTATCTTCTGACCCACTGTTGTGATTCTTATTGCTATGATTTTTTTCTAACTTGGTCATGAGGTCTCTCTTTTTAGACTAGCCATAAACCAATATAGCCACTCTCTAGGAGACCTCTGACTCAGGGGAGGGGGAGTTAGATTCAGGTGTGAGTGTCAGGTGAGACACAGTGGAGGAAGTGAAAACAAAATGCATGAAAGGAAGAAATTTATTACTCACAGAACCCAAAGAGGTTAGAGAGGCCCAAGAGAAGTGTGAAGATGGCACGGAGCTCATCCAGTTGAGGAGGGAAGAGAGGGCACAGGCAAGGGCAAGAGGGGGTGGGTGAGGGCCGGTGGAACTATTCCTTAGGCTTTCCTATGGGGGTTATGGGTCAGCTACTTTAAATGTTTCAGAAGGAGGAAACTTACTTGCAGGACTCTAGCATTGGCCATTAGGCTTTATCATGGTCAGCAGCTCTGGAGTGTGTTGGGTTTTGGGTCAGGGGAATGAGAAACAGACCATATAGCTGACAACCACACAGGGAGAAGTTTTAACTGGGTCAAAGATGACAGAGTATGACTGGGTTTCAAATAATTTGTTTCAGGCCTTAAAAAAAAATTGGGGCCAGGCACAGTGGCTCACATCTGTAATCCCAGCACTTTAGGAGGCTGAGGCAGGTGGATCACTTTGAGGTCAGGAGTTCTAGACCAGGCTGATCAACATGAAGAAATCTCTACTAAAAATACAAAAATTGGCCAGGCATGGTGGTGCACACCTGTAATCCCAGCTACTTGGAAGGCTGAGACAGGAGAATTGCTTGAATCTGGGAGACAGAGGTTGCAGTGACCCAAGATCATGCCACTACACTCCAGCCTGGGCGACAAAGCGAGACTCCATCTCAAGAAAAACAAACAAACAAAAAAACTGGGCCTGTGTGGCCCTGCATAGTGTGTCATGCCCCTTCTTCTTGGGAACTGTAAGTAACAAACTGTATTTTCAGTGGCAGCTGTCTCCTGATCCATTAGCTCTACCATACCTGAATAATAATAGCACTCATATTCTAAAACACTTGCTTCTTATGAGTAGGAAGAATGGGTCAGTGCTTCAGAATCCCAGACATGTCCAAAGGAAGAGGTGAAGAAAACCAAATGACCAGATCATACCCAGCCTGATTGAAACACACACAATATAATCACCCCTTTGTCTCTATGTGTTCACCAACTCTGCAAGTACACCTGTGTATAGTATGCTGACAAGCTCTGTCTTCTTCAATCTGCTAAATCGTTTTCTACTTTCCTACATTGCTGTGGGCCAGGAGAGCCCTGGATGTAATGGAAAGTGGGGAGGGGTTAAATCCGTCTAGGAAGGAGATGGATGGGTAAAAAAAAATTGTGTAACATATACAAAGGTTTCTATGATTACAAGCCTACTATGAAATCCAGTCACACCTACCACTCACAGTCCCACTTACTTTGCTCTAAGCAACACTGATCTCCAAACATGCTGTGCATAGTATTTCCCTTACACGGCACACCTGCAAATTTATTCTGCACTTTCAAATATAACTTAAAACAATAGCACTACATGAAATGTGCCATTTTCCCAAGAAGATTGTAGACTCTTTCCCCTGTACTCGCCATACCTTACACAATTCTCCCTTTCTGCAAATACCAAATTATGTTTCTTGGTATAGTGATCTTCCCATGGGCCTACAAAATCCATGTGGTCAAATGACATGCCTTTCCGTTATTCCTTCCCTAGAATCTTCTCCTATGCCTGACATCCATGTTTAATGAATGATCAGACACAATATAGGAAGAGGGATGCTGACTTTTATGTTTATGCCTCTATTCTCAGGATCTGAAACAGCACCTGATATTTAACAGGTGTTCACTATGTGTCTGTTAAAGAAAAAAAAAAAACATTAATGTCTACAATGATTTGATCCTGGGTTTGCCTCTTCTCTCCTTCTTCCTCCAAAGTATATTCCTTAAATTTAACAACCCTTGCCTTCCTTTTCTGTCTAAGGGCTACTGGTAGGTAGGATAATGACTCCAAAAGCTGTCTATGTCCTAAACCTCAGAACCTGTAAATATGTTACCATACATAATAGAAGATAATTAAGTTTGTAGATAGTTTAGTGTGCTAATTAGCTAACCTTGAGGCAGGAAGATTATCCTGACTTATGCAGGTGGGCTCAGTGTAAACACATAGGTACTCAGAAGTGACTATGGTGAGAGTGATGTGAGAACTTTACCTGCTGTTGCCACCTGAAGATAATGAAAGGGGCCATGAGTCAAGGAATATGGGAGGCCTCTAGAAGCTAGAAGAGAAAAAAAAAAAACAAAACAAAAACATATTCTCTCCTAGAGCCTCCAAAGAGCAAAGTGCCAATGAGACCCATCCTGGACTTCTAACCAAAAGAATTGTAAGATAATAAGTTTGTGTTGTTTTTAAGCCACTAAGTTTGCAGTAATACGGTACAGCAGTAAGAGAAAACTATTATAAGGCTCTATTTCGAAGCAGCTGAAAAAAGGCAGCTGATGAAGGAAGTCGCGCTGGGAAGTAGCCTAAGAGGCAAAAGTACAAAGACAGGAGTTTGAATCAGATGATGCCACTTTTAAGGGTGGATTTGTCAGAGACATATGAACCAGAGCAACTCCATCTTAAGTAGGAGCTGGGTAAAATAAGGTTGAAACCTACTGGGCTGCATTCCCAGATAGTTAAGGCATTCTAAGTCACAGGATGAGATAGGAGGTCAGCACAAGATACAGGTCGTAAAGACCCTGCTGATGAAACAGGTTGCAGGAAAGAAGCCAGCCAAAACCCACTGAAACCAAAATAGTCACAACAGTGACCTCTGGTCATCCTCCCTGCTACATTCCCACCAGTGCTGTGACAGTTTACCAATGCCGTGACATCAGGAAGTTACCCTATATGGTCTAAAAGGGGGAAGCATGAATAATCCATCCTTTGTTTAGCATATAAACAGGATATAACCGTAAAAATAGGCAACAAGCAGCCCTCACGGCTACTCTATCTATAGAGAAGCCATTCTTTTATTCCTTTATTTTCCAAATAAACTTGCTTTCACTTTATGCTATGGACTCCCCTTGAATTCTTTCTTGCTTGAGATTCAAGAATCCTCTTTTGGGGTCTGGATAAGAAGCCTTTCCTGTAACAGCTTTCTGGTGATTATGAAGAGACCGTAGTGAGGAAACCCCGGAACCAAAGGATAACTTTGGGTAAGTGTTGGGGTCGTGTAACATCTTCCTGGCAAACCCTGAAGGGATGATACTAAGGAGACCTCCCCCCAACCCAAGGAAATAGACTGCAGCACTGATTGGACAACTTTGGATAAGTGGTGGAGTACCTACTCAGGTAAAGAATGGGATTGGGATAGAGGCCCAACTTAGGGGAGTTAGAGTCTCTCCTAAGACAGAGTGGGTTAAAGGCCCCTCTTAATAAAAGGCAAGGACACTTGAATGACCTTGGGTTAGAGGCCCAATTTAGGAGGATTAGAGTCCCTTTCTAAGATTTAGGGGGTTAGTGGCCCCTCTTAGAAAGGTCACTCTGGGTAAAGTCCCTTTGAGCTAAGAACGGTATGTTAACTGCTATTCTCTTTGGATTAATCTGCCTTGAACTCCTTGCTGACAGCTGTGGGTAACAGGATTAGGCAGGTACAGGACCATTGGACATGGGGAACTATTTCTCCCTAAAACGGAAAACTTGAGAGCTGATGGGACTGCTGGAAAAGATCCTTCACAACTATCAAGCGGCCACCTGAACTGTTCAGTGTCACTGCAATGGGTGGGTCTTTCTCTGATCTCTCTGAGTGCCTCCCCTTCCCCACCCTGCCTCAGGCAATGCTTTCCTCTTTCTGTCTCTCCCTGTCTCTCTTTCTCTGTGCAAACTGGTTGAATTAATGGTAAAAAATCACTGTTTATCTCCTATAAAGTTTTGATTAATGGAAGAAAGGATTTTTGATGCTAGACTTAAGCTGCAGCAAATCTGATGTGCTTTGTGTGTTTTTCTGTATTATTCTGTCATAAAGAGGGGTACCTTATGATAGAACACTGGCTTAGGACGCTTTTCAAGGCAGAACAGCAAACTGGTCTGTTACAAACTTTGCTGCAGTTTCCTGAGAAAAACTGGATGAGTTTTTTTCTTGTCTTGCATGTCCTTGGGAACTTGAAGCTGTAAGCATGTGGCCATGTTTTCTCTTTTCACAATGGCATCCTGTGTTCAGGGTTCAATTTCTGCCTCGGGATGAATTTTTTTTATCTTCTTCTGTGTATGTATTTACATGTATTATGTGTGTGTGATGTTTATTTCTAAAACAGCATTGATTAATGGGTTTAATGAGAGCTTAAATCAAATATTTTGTCAGAAAAGTAAAAAGTATAATGCCTTTTAGTTCATGTGACTTAAGTAATTTTCCAGAAATAAAGACAGTTTTAAAGATTATCAGTAAAATAAAAATATCTTCAAAAATGTAAACATTTGGCTTAAATTAGGCAGGTCAGATATTAAGATTGCTAAATGCTTGAAGGTCATAAACTGCTTCTTTAACTTTTGAAAGCTGTTCAATTTACCTACCTTGAAGCCATTAGATTCTAGATAAGACCTGGGGACCTGCGGAGTTAGCCACGCCCCCTAGCTATGCTGGAGTCAGCCTTTATCTGCACTTCTGCCTGGTGTATCCCAGGCTAGGCTTCACACCTAGTACATAATTAAAATCCCAAATTTAGCAACTTTTGGTGAAAAACCTTGGTAAGAGTCAACATTATAACATGTAATTGATACTACTGAAGAAACAGTTTTATATGCAATTATGTAAAGAAAGTGAAATGGCCAGGTGCGGTGGCTCACGCCTGTAATCCCAGCACTTTGGGAGTCCGAGGCAGGTGGATCATAAGGTCAGGAGATTGAGACCATCCTGGCTAACATGGTAAAACCCTGTCTCCACTAAAAAAATACAAAAAAAAAATTAGCCGGGCATGGTGGCAGGTGCCTGTAGTCCCAGCTACTTGGGAGGCTGAGGCAGGAGAATGGCGTGAACCCAGGAGGCGGAGCTTGCAGTGAGCCGAGATCACGCCACTGCACTGCAGCCTAGGCGAAAGAGCGAGACTCTGTCTCAAAAAAAAAAAAAAAAAAAGAAAAATATTTTTAATTAAAAAAATATAAAGTCATGGGAATTTAGATTTTTGCCTAGATTAAAGCATTAAAGGATGGTTTCAAGTTAGGATGAAGCTGACTGTTCAAGAAAGCTGTGGAAGGGTTGTGAAAAAATAACTGTAAAAGAGATTCTGTGTGCAAACATTGGCTAAAATTAAAGGGGTATTATTCAGTTTTTCTGGAAACTGAACATTGGAATAAAAGCACTACTCTACTCTTTAACAAAAACTTGTAAAGGGTTATAAAAGGTTTATAAAAACCTTACCTTATGGTCAATATGATTAGGATTGAAGACATTTGTCTATAAAGTTTTACTAAGAATTGGGTTTGACATCAATAATGCACAAATGCAACAGTGACATTTGGCTTATTTAATATTACAATAATACAAGAAGCATTATCAAATACAAAATGGCATTTGGGTTTCTTTGGGCTGTATTTGTATAAATGTGTTACTGGTACATGTTCCAAAATTATTTTTAAAAATTCTTTAATCCTGATATGACTTAGTGTATGTTATTAATAATTGTTCATTAAAATCATTGTGTCTCAGAGGCAACCACATTTTTCTAGTCAATTTTGGCTTTAATTGTGGCTGTCCTAAGACTTTTGGTCATCCAAAAGTGGTCTTGTTTTGGTTCTCTTTAAAAGGTGGTTTAGAATTAACTGTAGGACTCTACTGGTGCTTTTAAATGCAGATTTCTGATAAGTTTGGACATTGTGACATCAGAACAGAGGGAAACCTTTCAGGACTCAGGGAGAGCTAAAATGTTCATAAATATCAAGCAGAACAGAAGTTAACTGCATGGACTAAACTAGCAAAAGTCTAAAGTAACCTTTTTAACTTTTTGTGTAAAATGTTGCTGATCTTTTGTGTTTCAGAGTCAAGAAAACTTTTGAGCTATTATAGCTTTTAGCAATTGAGTAAAGTATACTTGTGTGAACAAAATTGAGAGCATATTTTTTTCTTTTTACCTGATTTCTCTGGATTTTGTAAACTAGTTGTGAGTATTCTTAATTTATGGCAATATAGTTATTTGCATGAGTGTAATAAGAATCTGTTGGGTTTTGTTTTGTTTTCTTTATTATTATTATTATTTTTGGCAACAAGACACAATTGGAGAAACTGATTATTTTACGAAGACTTTGATGGAATGGTATACTCTCCTTTAAGGAATCAAACTTGACTTGCCAAGTCAATAAAAGCCCCTTGGAGAAATGGCCTCAGACCTTTGCTACAACAGTCCCTGTACGTGATTTCTGACCTGTGGTAAGTAAATAATGTCACCTTCTAACAGGTCCAGGAGCCCCAAGTTATCTTGGGACCCCAAGAGGAGAGGAATTTACTAAACTCATAGGTATTTGAGGGTACAAACCCATGGTAGGGCTCAGCTCAAAAAGAGTCTTATCTAAGATTCCTTCTAAGAAACAAAGTTTCATCAAAGCCAGTGTTAAAAGTCTATGTGAAAAATAATTATTCTTGCTGTACTTTATACAAATAATCAGGCCAAGTATAATAAAGCAAATTAGTCTCACTATGACTTATCTTTAGTGAAAATGGAAAACAGGAGAGAGAATATTATGTTTCAAGACCTATGTTACACTTGTTATTAAATTCTAGTCTCATCAGTTGTTAAGTTTGTTTCTGCAGTTTAGGCTAACCCTGCTTCTTCCTGTGAACCAACCGGTGATCTTTGTTTGCTACTCTGAAAAAACAAGACATTTTGGTAATGTAAAAATCTGGATCAGTATTCTAATTCTGGGCATGTATTGGAATTGGCTAACCACCTCATGTCAGCTTGGTTCCAGTAGTTGCCCAGTTCATGAAGAGCCTTATAATTTAGTTTATTTGGGATAATTTTGCTTATTTTGTTATATTGCTGTTTTACTCTTTGTGTAGGAATGCAGACTAAGCTTGCTAAATGTTTTCTTAAACTAAATACTTATTAGTCTTTCAGATATCACCTTTCATCAGGACTCAAGAGTTCTGAATGGCCTTCATCATACTGAGGCTTTCTGACTGAGCTCCTCTCTACCCTGAACACAGAGACCCTAATAGTTAGGCAGGAATATCATTTCCCCTATTCAGCCTGAAGAAGTTACAGAAGATGAATCTTTGTCCCCCTACAACCTTAGGATTAAGGGTTCTCTTATAAAAGGGAGGGAGGAAATGTCTAAGACATGTGAACTAGAGCAACTTCATCCTGAAGAGGAGCTGAGTAAAATAAGGCTGAAACCTACTGGGCTGCATTCTTAGACAGTTAAGGCATTCTAAGTCACAGGATGAGATAGGAGGTTAGCACAAGATACAGGTCCTTAAAACCTTGCTGATAAAACAGTTTGCAGTAAAGAAACCAGCCAAAACCCACCAAAACCAATATGGCCACGAGAGTGACCTCTGGTCATCCTCACTGCTACACTCCCACCAGCGCCATAATAGTTCACAAATACCATAGCAACATCAGGATGTAACCCTGCATAAATAATGCACCCCTTGTTTAGCATATGATCAAGAAATAACCATAATAATAGGCAACCAGCAGCCCTCAGGGATGCTCTGTCTTTGGAGTAGCCATTCTCTTATTCCTCTACTTTCTTAATAAACTTGCTTTCACTTTACTCAGACTCCTCATAAATTCTTTCTTGCACAAGATCCAAGAACCCTCTCTTGGAGTCTGATTGGGACCTTTTTCTTGTGACAGATTCTGCCAGTTTCTGTTCTTGGCAGGTTCCATTTCTACAAATTCCTCATCTCTATAGGTTTAGGATCAGAATGTTCCAGCAGGGGAGCATTACAGCTGTTTCAATCCTCAGGGAGACTACTCATCTTGGGAATAATTCCTTCCTGGAGTGATTGGAAAATAATTCCTAAAAGAAATTGAAAAGTCAAATTGTTGAACGGTAAATTCACCATCACGTTTACCATAAAGCATGTAGAGAAATGGAAATAGTTACACATCATGGTTGAGAGTGCAGGATTTGCAGTCAGACAGTTTCTGGCACTTAGTAGCTTTAGAAAGTGACTTAAGCCCTCTAAGCCCTCAGTTTTCACATCTATAAAATGAAGTAAATAATATAAGCCTCTCAGAAGTGGAGTGAGCGTTGAATGAAATAGTATGTGAGTAGTTTAACGCAGAGACTGGCACTGACATAAGAAACTATTGTGATAGAAGCAGAGCAGAGAAAATATTTTGAATAGCTGTATGCATGGCAATTTTTTAACCTCTTTATTCGTGGCAACTCATTTAATTGCCACAACAAACTAAGTACTTTTATTATTTCCATTGTTATGGACTGAGCTATGCTACCCTCTTCATTTCATATGTTGATGTCCTAAGTCCCAGTGCCCCATAATGTGACTATATTTGGAGACACGGTCTTTACATGGATAATTAAGTTAAAATTAGGTCATTAGGGTGGGCCCTAATTCAATATGGCTGGTGTCCTTATCAGGTTAGGACACAGACATGCATAGAGGGAAAACCAGAAAAAAGGTATAGGAGAAAAAATGGTTATCTACAAGCCAAAGAGAGAGGCCTCAGAGGAAGCCAACTCAACAAATTTTAAAATATGTATTTTGGAGAACAAAATTATTAGAAAATATTTACAACAGAAAAAAAAAATTTCTTCTAGAACTGAGCTGGTCTAAAGGTGCATATCTTGGTAAGGCTCTGTGAAGAAATGACCTAATCTGGAGAGAAGCTGTTGGGACACTCGTCTGTGTGTGGCCTGTGGCTCACAGGGGTGGGTATTCTCAGAAAGCACATGGGAAAATCACCGTCCTGGTGTGTCCAGGCTCTGGGAACAGGCTCTTCCTCGTGGCTTTCACATGGGTTTCCTGGTGGGCTATGTAGTCACTTTCTGCATCCTTCTTTTAAGGGCTCATGAACGTCACAGACCCTGAGATACCGGTCTCACTGTCCTCAACTATCAAATGAGGAGGTTGCACCAAAGAACCCCTAAAGCCCCTCCCACCTCTAATCGCCTATGGGACTGTCCATTCTTCTTAAGGATCATTATAGACACACAGCAGGGAACATAAAGTAGACAAATTCTGAGAAACAGCTAAGAAAAGTACTACAGACCCACCAGAATGGGAGTATAAATTGGGCTTCATCTGCCCCATTGCAACCTAGACTTCCTTTGCCTTATGATTTGGCTCAATGGCATCTGTGACAAGGTAGCTTGAAGTTGACACCAGTGCATCCCTGGAGATTGGATGGGCTGGGCTCAGAATCCCATACATCCTTTACAGCCTTTTTTTTCCTCACCCTATCCATACCCTCACCCTACTAGAATTATGCATGCACTTGTTGAAAACAGCCCTAGCAAAGTAAATCTAGGCTCCTTAGGCCATGATTAAGGGCCCTTGAAGAAGTCAAATTACCTAAGAAACTCTAGACATGCACTCTCCAATATGCAAGCCACTAGTTCGTGTCTACTGAGCTCCTGAATTGTGGCTAGTGCTAATGGAGATGTGCTGTAAGCATGAAATGCACACCAGATGTACAAGACTTAGTATGAAAAAATATATTAAAATCTCATTAATAGTAAGATTATTTTTATATTGAAATGATAATTGTTAATATTGGGTTAAATAAAATATAGCATTAAAATTCATTTCTCCTGTTTTTACCTTTTTAATGAGTCTACTAGAAATTTTAAATTTATGAATATGGCATAGTTTATCTCCATTGGACAGCACTGCTATTTAGAGTATCAAAATTTGGTATCTTTTGTGACAATAATAAATCATTTATCAAGGAGAAATACCCTAGAATTGGACACTCATCACCCATTATGTAACTTCAGCTAGCCTCTTGGTTTGTCCTCCTCTCTCTCATAGAATTAATAAAGCAATCTATCAGGACAAAATGAATATTGTCTTGTTTTTCTTTTTCATTTTTTCAAATCATTGGAGGTCTTTGGGGGGAAAGGTGATAGCAAGACACTAGGTGTGTTATGAAAGCATGAGCCTATGGGCAAGTTTGGATTTGCTTGTTATCCACGACAGGAAATTTTGGCCAGGAGTCAGTTATTCGCCTAGAAAATGAATTGTTAATGTACCTGTGTACTCTTACAGCTATCACAACTGCACTTTGCTGAAATTACATACATACACACACACACACACACACACACACACACACATTTGATTGTTACATATCAATGTTAGGCAGTTTTCCTCCTGGGTGTTTTTTCCTTATCATTATTATCATCATTAGTATTACTTCTCCTTCACTTCTGTCTCTTGCAAACCAGATATTTGTTTCCCTCACACAGCACCTGCTTTAGAAATAAAATAAATTACAGAAAAGGAATTAGTAAACTAGATTTGCTCCTTGAAGTGTATAAAAGTTGAGTGTATAGAGGATGGGAAGGTGAGGGAGTTTGCAATGGTTTGGATGTGGTTTGTCACCACCAAAATTCATGTTGACATTTAAATGCCAGTGTGGCAGTGTTGGGGGTGGGGTCTAGTGGGAGGTGTTGGATCATGGGGACAGATCTCTCATGGACAGATTAATGCCTCCTCTCGGGAGTGAGTTTCACTCTTACAGACTTGGTTAGTTACCATGACAACAAGTTTTTCCTTCTCATGTTTCATCTCTTTGGACATTCCCACTCCCCCATCCATTTTCTGCCATGAGTTGAAGCAGCACAAGACCCTCACAAGATGGGCTGCTCAGTTTGGGACTTCCTGACCTCCAGAATTGTGAGCCAAATAAAATATTTTTTCTTTATTAATTACACAGTCTCATGTCTTCTGATATAGCAACATAAAACAGACTAAGACAGGGTTCTCTAGGGTATGAGAGTATGAATAAAAATTTCTAATTTTCTGGTAATGAAGTATTTTGGGCAAGAATAACATGTATCCAGAAAGAACTCTTGCAATGAGAAGTGTTTGCTGTCTTTCCTTTTGTTCAGGGACACTGTCTTTGGGGACATATTTAATTCCCAATAGAAGGAAATGGCAATAATGTATAGTTAGATAACACCATCTTCGCTTCTTCATGCCCCCTTAAGATGTTGTTCACTCTTCCATTGCAAACATCCAGAACAAGGCAAGCATGGACTTCCTAGATCTGGGAGGAGAGAGAAAGGTACTGGTTGCTACCTAATACCATTGAATATCTCAGAGCTGGGAGAAATTCCACTGAGTCTATGTCTGGAGACAGAAGTGACTGCTCCCTGGTGGGAAGCCAATCTTAGCTCAGTTTGTCACCATATTTCTGGGGGACTACTGCAAGAGCCCCCATCTGGTCTCTCTACCTTCAGATTAGCCCAATCTGAACCACCCTTTACACTGCACTCAGAGGGATCTTCTAAAATGTGAATCTGATGACATTCTGCTTGAAACCCTTCAAATAACCTTCTATACTCTTTAGGATAAGATCTGAGACCCTTAACATGCCAAACAATGCCTTCCATGTGTGATTTTTTTTTGTTATTTCTCTAGCATCACTTTTCACCCTAGACTTGCTGTCCCCGATGAGACACCTATATCTCTTATTTCGGCACTTTAACTGACATTACTTCCCGCAATTTGTTGAGTTCAATCCTACAGACATTTATTGAACATTTATTATGTGTCAGGCATTGTTATGAGACTACCAAGATGAAGAAGACAAAGTCCATGACGTCAAGAAACTTATAACATCTGGAATGTTCTTTCCTACCCCATTTTCTGGATGAACAAACTGGCCATCTCTGAAGTCGCAGCCTAAGTGTTGCAGCAGCCTTAAAGGCCTTTCCGGCCTTGCCAAGACAGAACTGTACCCTGTGCCTATTTCTATAACATCTAGAACAGTGCTGCACAAAGCCAGTATGAGATAAAGGAGCCCGTACCAGAATTTAAACCAATGCACTGCTTTTTTTAATAAAGAAAGACTTGGTTCAAAAAATAATATCAGCTACACTAAACAATGTGCTTAATGGTACTTGCTTGTAACAAATACTTTCAGACCAACAGCTGGCCTCTGGACAGCTGAAGGAGAGAATAAAGAGAATGGTAAGATGTAGAATTTTCAATATATAGTTGCTGAGAATTGAGAAATTTAATAATACAAAAGAAATTTATGGCTAGTAAGCCAACAAAGAAAATAAAATGGGGGCATAAAAAAAATACATATAGGCCAGAAAAGAAAAGAAGAAGGAAACAAAGAACAGATGGATAAACAGAAAACAGATAGCAATGTGACAGACTTAAACCCAAACAGATCAATAAATACATTAAGAGTAAGTTACCTAAACAATCCAATTAGAAGACAGATACTGTCAGATTGTATGAAAAGGGAAGACTCAACTATATGCTGCCCACAGGACACCTTTTTTATTTTTTTAAATTTTAGATTCAAGTGGTGCGTGTCCAGGTTTGTTACACGAGTGTATTGCATGATGCTGAGGTTTGGGTTTTCAATTGAACCCATCACCCAAATAGCGAACTCAGAGCCCAACAGATTATTTTTTAAACCTGGCTCCCCTTCCTCCCTCCCCCAATTTGGACTCTACACTGTCCATTGTTCCCACCTTTATGTTCATGTGTACCCAGTGGGGAAACCTACTTTAAACATAAAGACATAAATAAGTCAAATTAAATAATAACAAAAGATATACCATACCAACATTGATCAAAATAAGGCTGAAGTAACTATATTACTATCAGACAAAATAGATTTTCCAAAGCAAAAAATATATATTATATAATACATATTTATATAATATATTATATTATATTTTATATAATATATATAATATATAATATATTTATATAATATATTATGTATTTATATTATATATTTATATAATATATATATTATATATTTATATTATATATTTATATAATATATAATATATTTATATAATATATTTATATAATATATATTATGTTATATAATATATATTATAATATATATTATATATTATAATATATATTATATAATATATATTATATATTATATAATATATATTATATAATATTATATAAAATATATTACATTATATAAAATATGTAAAATAATGTATATTTTACATATATAACATATATTTTATATATATTATATATTATATTATATATATTTTATATATATTATATATTTAATATATTTTTATATATAATGTGTATATTATATATAATACATATAATACATATAAAATATATACATTATATATAATACATATAATACATATAAAATATATATTATATAAAATTATACATATAATACATATAAAATATATATTATATATTATATACAATATCACAAATATATAACATATTGTATATAATATATAATATCAAATATATAACATATTGTATATAATATATAATATATTGTATATAATATATTGTATCTTATATATTTTATATTTTATATGTATTTATATATACAATACATATCTATTATATGTATATTATATATAATATGTATTATATATTTTATATTCATTTTATATATTATATATAATATATGTTATATATTTTATATATTATATATTTATTATTTTAATAATAAATATATATATTTTATATGTATTTTATATATATATATATATATATATATATATATATATATATATATATAACCAGGGATAATAAGGGTCACTTCACAGTGTTAAAGGGGTTAATTCATAAACACAAAATCCAAAATGTTTATTCCCCTAATAACAGAGTCTCAACATACATGAAGAAAATAAGTGATTGAATTGCAAGAGAAATAAACAAATCTACCATTATACTTGAATATTTCAATACTCCTCTTTCAATAATTGATATAACAAATAATTGATATAATAATTGATAGAAAGTCGTAAGAGTACATTCAATTTGAGCAATGTTATCAACTAATTTGATCTAAATCGCATTTACAGAATACAGCTTCCAACAACAGCAAAACACACCTCAACAACAGCAAAACACACCTCTCTATGCATCTCTATGCATCACCTCTCTGTTCCATTATGCAGTTAATTATGCAATTAAGCAATCTTGTCAGGACCATAATGCAACTGCATTATGCAATTGCATATGCATAATTTGCGGACCAAATTATGTTTAATTGCATAATTGCAATTGCATAATGGAACCATAGCACTGTCACTGTCTGACAGTGCTATGCAATGTGAGACATTGCAAAGCACACCTCAAGATTGCTTGAGGACAGGAGTTTGAGACCAGCCTGGGCAACATAGTGAGACCCCTATCTCTAAATAATAAATAATAAATGAATAAATAAATAAATAAAATTAGCTGGGCATGGTGGCGGGCACCTGTGGTCCCAGCTACTCAGGGGCTAAGGCAGAAGGATTGCTTGAGTCTGGGAGGTTGATGCTGCAGTGAGCTCTGATCACCCCACTGTCCTCCAGCCTACATGACAGAGTGAGACCGTGTCTCAAACAATACAAACCAAAACAAAACAACCTAAAATATTATCCACAATTCCTTATTTGAAACCATAGAAGGTAGATGCTTTAGAATCCAGAAGATTTTTCATATTAGAATAGCACAGACTGAATATTATATAACCTCCAGGAATTCTGGGGCAGAGCGCATCTGCAGTGAAATAGAAGTGTGTCCACAAGGCATGGGATAAATGCAGACTATAGAAAGACTCATAATTATACACTGTACAAAGGCTCATGCCGGTTCAGACCAAGTTTTTGTTGCTAAACGACTTTTTATTAACTTCATGGAAAATGTCCATTGTGAAAGTTTTTTGGATTTCTGAATTATAGATAAGGAATATAGGCCTGTACAGATACATATACATACATATAATTGGATGAAAGTTGGAAAATACAGAAAACCACCAAGAAAAATATTCATAATCCTACCATTCAGAAGTAACCACAAACATTTTGGTATATGTACCATTTTGTTTGCATCTTTTACATATATCAAAGACCTTTTATATATTTATATATGTAAAATATGCAAACACATATTTTTTTTTGCTTATTCCCCCTCCAGAGAAACAGGATTAAATTCACATTTTCTCTTAAATATATAAAATGAACATTTATCTATGTCAGTAAATATTCTACTATAGCCTAATGTCTGTTTTGAGTTTTATTGTATTGCTATTCCTTAATTTATCAAACATTTAGGTTGATTACAATTTTTCATGTTATAAATAACAATGTAATGAGCATAGTTATCCATACAACTTTTGGTGTGTCCTGATTTTTTCCTAGGATAAATTACTAGATGTAGAATTACTGGGTCGAAGGGTTTTCTTTTATCAAAAAGTTTACAAAAGAAACTTTAAAAATATGTTTTCATCAAAAAGTTTACAAAAAAATTGGTAAGTGATTTTCATGCATGAAAATGAGTGCTTATTATTGATTTCACTCATTGTCATTGTTTTAGAGAATTGCCTTATATTTAGAATAAACATCTGTATTCAGAACACGGTCGCATCTTTTTTTTTTTTTTTTTTTTTGAGACAGAGTCTCACTCTGTCGCCCAGGCTAGAGTGCAGTGGTGCGATCTCAGTTCACTGCAACCTGTGCCTCCTGGGTTCAAGTGATTCTTCTGCCTCAGCCTCCCAAGTAGCTGGGACTACAGGTGCATGCCACCATGGCAGGCTAATTTTTGTATTTTTAGTGAGGGTGGAGATTGGGAGGAGGGTGAGAATTGAAAAGCTAACTGTCGGGTACTATGTTTATTACATGGGCAATGAAATAATCCATACACCAAACCCCCATGACAAATAATTTACTCATATAATAAACCTGAACAGGTACCCCCCTGAACCTAAAATAAAAGTTGGGGGTAAAAAGAAGCTGGAGAGAAGAGAGCCTCCCTTCCTGAGGATAATAGCCTTCGTGTATGCCAGACACTGTTATAAGCATTTTACACATTATGGCTCATTTAGTGCTGAACCTGTATATAGGATGTAGGTTGACAAAACTGAGGCACGGAAAGCATAAGTAACTTGCTAAGGGTAAGAAAGATTGTAAGAATAGAAGCAAACACTACTGAAGGGAAGACAACAGCACTCAGACACATTGAGATGAGAACCAAGTAACATTGATTTACAGAATATACAGGCAAATGGGATGCGCTGATAGAGCTCCTTTTATTAAAAATTCTGCAGGAATAAAAGAAAATTCATGGCAACTATGCAGAGAGCTTAACACAAAAAAGAAGAGGAAATATAGTATAAATGGGAAAGTGAAAAATCCATCCTGAAATCTAATATAAGCCTAAGAAACAGAGAAAAAAATCTAAGACAAGTATTTTGTATCTAGAAAAAAACAAAGAAAACATATTCATTGAAACAAAAATAAATAAATACTTAGATGAGACAATAAAATAAGATGGAAAAATGGTAGTTACAAAGCTAAGGAAAAATTGCAGATCAAAACAGCAATTACAGAGTTAAGTAAATTTGAAAGAGCAAGAAACAAAATTAACATAGTCAAATATTAAATTCATCACTTTCAAAAAAGCTTGAGATAATCATAGAAGGTGTGTAGGGAAAAGACAATAAAGTCGAAATGGTTAGGATGAAGATTAAGCTATGAGGGATAGATAATGATCTACCCATGGGTCCTTGTTTCCCCAAAAGAAAGACTACAGTGCATGAAATACAAAAAATATCTACCAATATAAAAGAAAAGAAAGAGCTGGCTAGGAAATTGAAAGGGCTCCCTGGATTCTGGAAAGAAGTGACAGTGCTGGCTCAACTCTGAGACATACTTGATGAATTTACTACACTTCAAAGTAAAAGAAAATAGTCTCATGTATTCAAGAACAAAAAGCAATCCACTTACAATGGTGGGGTAGGGCTGGGAGAGGACCCTGAGAATCAGGCAGCATTTGATGCAAGAAAATAGTAAAACAGTGTCCACAAAGTTCGGAGGAAAAGAAAGTGGAACACAACAATTTCCTACCATACAAGTTCTTGTTAAATCAGATGCAGTAGTCAAACATATAAACACTAGAGAACATAAAACCCGTGAGCCCTTCTTGTAAACGAAAATAAAACAAACTGACCCAAGAGATGAATCGAAGTAGATTTCAGAAATTGATTGGTGTTGGCATCAGAATTCTTCTCATAGAGGGAATTTTCCTTAGAAAAAAGAAGCTTTCATAAGCTTCTGGGGGTAGTACAGAATTCCATACCTTCAGACTTTTCCATATCTGTATATTATTCCTTCTGTTATTTAGTTAATACGTTTCTTTAAACTCACTTTTTAATTTAGATTCATATGTTTATGAAGGAATCTTGCAATCATAAGCCGAAAAGAAAAATTGGCATCACTTACGGTAAATAGAAGGTAGCCAAGCATAAAAATAAATTCGATGAAACAAAAACAACGTTATTAATATAACCAGATATCATTGCCAGCTTTAAGAGGGCCAAAGCTGAAGCTTGCTTTCTCTTTCATAAAAAGAGAGTTTGGTAGGTGTTAGATGTTATGTGCTTATTCTCACCAAACAGACTGTCTTTGACTAATTCATCTTACTACTAAATAGAGTGTATTAGTGCGATTCAATGAAATTTAATGCTGTGTTCTTGCATCACCTTAAATCTCACTTTGGGTGCTATGAGTGGAATTTTTGTGTGTCTTTTCCCTCCTGCAAATTCATCTGTTAAAACCATAACTGCTAATGTGATGGTGTTAGGATGTAGGATGTTTGGGAGGTGATTAGGGAGCAAGAGCGGAGCCCTCACGAGTGGGAGTCATGCCCTCATGAAGAGATTTTGGAGGCTAGCTGAGAGAGACAGAGCTGGACATACTGGCTCGATGGAGCTCTGGGTGTTGCTCCCACAACAGCAACAGCACAGAGCGCTGAACACACACCCCACAGTTCACCATCCATGGCCAGGAGACCATTCAAAACGTGATTGCTGGTTGTCAACTCCAAGAACTAACAGGAGTGAAAACTCACACACACACCCAAGAATGCAGACTCTGCCTGGCACACAGGGAAGTCTGCCCTCGTGCCTGGGGTTCCTTCCTCTGTGGGCTTCCTATCTTCAGAGCCTTGGCTCTCCCTTCCCCTGAGGGATTACTCACCACTTCCCTAACACTGCTGGGCTGCCCTGCTTTGCTGCCATGGAGTCCAGTCATCAGGCAGATTCATTCACATCTAGGCGCCTGAGTGGTACTGGCCACCACGTAATGGAGTGGACATCAAACCGAGAAGTGGGCAACCTGGAATTGGGTGCCAGTCCTAGAGTCCCTCATCAGCCAAAAGAAAATTATCTCGCGAGTGCCTACCTTCCAGAAGTGTCACGGGGAGACCATCAGGTGTGTACCAGAAGCACTTCCTACATTGCAAAGCAGCAAAGAAAGGCAGCCTCTATAGTGGTCTGTAAAGAGTGCCTTGCAGAGAGGACACAGCCTGGCTGATGAGTTTCCAGCAGTAGAGCGTTAGGTGTGATTGAATCTTGGAGAGGAAGAGACTTGGTTCTGTTGAACCTGCTCCATGTTACTCAAAGCACACACCACACACTCTGCCAACAGGTAAAGCTTCGGATGCTACCTGCTGTGTTCTGTCCTCTCCCAGCTGAGCCAGGCCCTGGGAGCCCCCTCCAGGAGCTCCGGGCAAGCAGCCCCTCATGGTCCATGGTGGAACTGCACCCTCAGCACTGGTGAGGGTGTCGCAGGAGCCTGCGAGGAAGGTGGGGTCTCAGTGCTTTTGCACAGGGCGAGTGGAGCTGGAAATGCAGCCCCCAGTGGTTTCAGTTATTCCAGGTATGACTTTTCTCTCTCATCTTGCACCTTCGGACTCTAATTTCCTGTGAGCAATGTGCTGGGAAAACTGGCAGCGGCTCTCTGGCAACCGTGGGGGAAAGAAGCAAAGTGGGGCAGAAGCGGAAGCCAGGGGCAGGGGCTGGGTCGGTCCAGCCAGCCCGCTAGGGCTCCCATGTAGCAGAGATTCCACTGAGAGGAAGCCGGGGCTGGCCCGGCCGGGAGACTCCCTCCATGCCCCGTGTGTGGAGTGTCGGGGCACCCTATATCCTCAAGGTGGCCTTGACCTCTGGAGACAGGTGTTGGCTCCTTGAGTCACCAACAGCAGGGACCAGACTGGGAGGTGTTTTTGGGCGGGAAGGGCTGGGCCAGGCCAGGCTCCAGCAGGCCCCCTTGTGGTCAGAGGGACTGCCTGCAGGATGATGGGCTTGGGGACCAAGGCAGCCACTCCCCACATGGGAGTTGGACCCAGGCTTGAAGGACACACCGTCACATCGATGTCACTCTCTTGGGAGGCCTCCTTGTGACACAAGATGTCCTGGCCCCGGTGTTTTTCTTCACCATATTCCTCCCAACTGTAATTGTGTAGTTCCTGGGGTGCTTATCTCTCAATGTCCATCTCTGTGAAAAAAGCCGTGACCCTCCGGGATAAGGTCTGTTCGTGAGACTCACTTTGTGGAAAGGACATATGAAAGTCTCAGGACTCTACCTAAGAGCTAGGATCCAGCTCAGGTCCCAGCTCCACTGCACCAATGCCCCTCGGTCCGAGGAGAGACTGAGATCTCTGTAAACAGCAGAGATCAGTAATACAGGCTTTGCCCTGCTGAAACTTCCCTCTGAAAGGAAGCATAATGCTTTCAGCCAAGTGCCTGCCCAGAGCTCTAAATAGATAACAGTTTAGAAGGGGGGTGTGATCACCAAGGGTACAGATGGGCTTCACAGAGCCCATAACCCCCACCAAAATTGAATGCCAATGTGTATAGGTGTGTGCCTAGGTGCATTTTCCTCAGGAAAGGTCCAAAGCTTTCATAGGATTCTCAAATGGATCTAGATCACATAGAGAGAGGAGAGGGGGTTGTCAGCAGGAGCAGCCCAGGAGACACTCAGTGAGAATACGCAAGGGTCTGCACCTGTCAGACTTTGGTCTGCATAATTATATGCATAATTTGCATATAATTTGGTATGCAAGATTGCAATGCGATTAAGCTATCTTGCAGTATCTTAAAGAAACTCTGGTAAAGGGTACCCTAGATACTAGTAAAATGAATTAGCTGTGCACATATGTGGAGGAGATTGTAACTGGGGTGGAAGTAAGACTTCACTGTATACCTTTCTGTGTGAATTGATTTTTGAGCCAATGTAATGCCTATTCTAAAACAAAATATAGCACTTCATATAAAGGGCAAAATTAAAACATAATGGAAAAACTACCAAAACCCAATGAGGAAGTCATTGTTCCAATGCCCAAGTTGGGGTGGAGTGAAGCAGAGAACATTCTCCACCACTTTGCAGGTGTGGAGGAATATGGCTGGACGGAATTCGCAGAAGAGCACAGCTCCCGTGGACTCTGTCCTTCCAGAGCCTCTCAACCCTTGTCAGCCTGGGAAGGGGGCCTGAACCAGTGAACCAGAGCCTCTCAAATGTCAGCCTGAGTAATTTTTTGCCTCTAAGTATTCTTTTGTGGCTTCTTCTGAGAAGGTTCACAAATTTTCCTTTTCTTTACAGACATCTCACAAATCCTTAAGGAGGAGGCTGTGTCCCTAGAGTCCTGTAGTCGAGACATTTGAGAATTTGGGACCCAGTTGGAAGTGGTTGCGTATTTCCATTGTGTGGGAATATGTAAAAGGCCCAAGCCTCACCAAGAAGGGAAGACCAGGCTGCTCTCATCTCAAGGGCCAGTTGCTTCACACACCGGAGTGGGCCTAATGTTCAAGGAGCTTCTTTCTCCATTTCTCCCCACAGTGCTTAACGTCTCAGGCCACGGGCTGCCAGCACTCACCTGCCGAGGCCGCCCTGCGGCCTCCCTGTTCTGAGGCCCCTGCCTCTCCCTGATGAAACTTCCTCCGTGCTAACTTGGCAAGAAAAGGCAAACGCTGCTGTGCTTCCCTTTGCCCTTGAAAAGAATGAGGTTTAGGGGAGGCTCTGCACAGTCCTGTGCTGTCCGGGATAGCTGAGCAGAAGCTGTTGAAGCCGGCCTGCTGGACTGAGCTTGGTCCAGCAGCCTATCCACGTGAGAGCCCTGGCTATCTGGAGGCACAGGGAGCTGCTGGGCCTGCAGCGTCCCACCTGGAGGGAAAGAACGCACCGCCAAGGAGGCGTGGGCCCTGCAGCCCGTGCTGGGCCGCGAATCTGGTAGCCACGCTTCTCCGGCGGAACGCGGCGCCCCCTGGCGGCAGAACGCTTGTGGCCGCCGTTACACTCGTGTGGAAACAGCGCCATCTGCCGAATGCTCCATCTCATTGCTGATTGGCCCACACAGACTTTGTAAGGATTTTTCCTTCTGCTTGCTTAAATCAGGCCATATTGAGCCTATTCAAAGTGTACTTCTGAAATGAAAAAAGAAAGTGACTGTACAAGATGTTTTGCTCACTGGAAAAACGAGGATGAATGGAAAATGGGTAGCGATTATCTGAATAATATGTGCTTCCTGTCTGTAGTGAGGTGTGAACATGGTGGGGCCGCACATTGCAGAGGAAAACGCATGCATTTTGGAGTCAGGCAACTGCGATCAAATTCTTACTAGCTTTGTGAGCTAGGAAAGTTACTTAGCATTTCCAAGCCTCATTTGTCCTTATCTGTAAAGTAGAAGTACATTTACCTTGCAGCATTGTAGCAAAAGTTAAATAAAACAATGTGCATAAAATGAAAATTAAATGTGTATGAAGTAAGATAATATATATAATAGGTAGACTTTAAAGTATAACATAAAAATATCACATAGCCATTTTTTTCTAATTGTTAGAATTGTGAAATATTCCTGAAATGGATTTATCAAATGAGAAGACAGAATCTCTCTGAGGTATTTTTAAATTTTCTCTAGAATGGTTGATTCTGACCTTTCTGTAAAAGACGATCTATTTCTGGGCACAGATCCTAGAAACAGAATTCTGCCAAAGTGAGACTCCACTAACATTTATTGAATGTCTGCCGCATGCTACACACTTTCAAAGATGCTCTTTCATTATCGCCAGTAAAATCTGAAGCTTCAGGATCTATTCCTCTTCCCAGCAGAAAGTTTTGCCAGGAATATCAGAACCTCTTTTTTACAGCCTCTCAAGTACTTTCAAGATTATTCAGAAAAGCCCAAAACTTTGAACAACCCAAATGCCAATTAACAGGAGAATCAACGATACTACATCCATACAATGAAATATTACTGGGCAATGAAAAAGACAAACAACCAGATAAACATCATAGGAGGGACTCTCAAATCTGAGGCAAAAATAGTCAGGCCAAAAAATATACTGTATTTGCATGAAGTTCTAGAATATGAAAATCTAATTGATGGTGGTAGAAATCAGAATCGTTGTCCGCACAGGATAGGCGTGGGGATTGACTGCAGAGGGGCACTAGGGAACTTGTGGGGTGATGGACATGTCCTGAATGTTGATCTGGGTGCTGATTGCACAGTTATGTACAGGCAGTGGTGTGCTGAAGCCCGCTGGCACCATCAAGAGAGTGGACTGTTAATTTTTCAGGATGTCTGCAAGCCAGTCAACATCACATTGATAGCTTGGAATCCACCACGGTGGAAATATTTATACTCCAGAAATTGGCAAACACTACAAAGCAGGGCTTTTTTATCCCACCAGAGAGCCAGTTGTAAAACATGTATGAACACACCACTGTATACATTTGCCAAAGCTCATTGAATTATATATTTCAGATCTATGCATTATATTGTATGGAAATTATATTTCAAAAATGGGGGTGAATAAAAGCTCTCTGCTATCAGAGTGTGCAGAGCACAGCTGGAGGCCCATGCTGAGCAGCTGGGGAGAAAGGTTGGAATCAGTCATTTCTGGGATGGAAAAGCAAAATTTAAGAAGTCTTTCTCAGTCATAATGGATCTAAAGCAAGAAAGCAGATCAAAATACATAAGCCTCAGAATTGAGGCACAATACTGGGTCAGCATTTTGATAATGGCTGCATAGATTACAGATCATCAGCCTCACCTTAGCAAGGAGGAACTGGAGGCCCATATCAGAATCCAATGTTCATCTTCTATAATTTTATTAATTTTATTCTTTAAATCATCAGACAGGCCAGGCACAGTGGCTCACACACTTTGGAGGCTGAGACAGGTGGATCACTTGAGCCCGGAAGTTTGAGACCAGCTTAGGCAACATGGTGAAACCCTATCTCTACAAAATACAAAAAATTAGCCAGGCGTGGTGGCACATGACTGTAGTCCCAGTTATTCAGGAGGCAGAGGTGGGAGAATCACCTGAGCCCAGGAGCTCGAGGCTGCAGGGAGCCATGATCGTGCCACTGCACTCCAGCTTGGATAACAGAATGAGACCCTATCAAAAAAAAAATATATATATATATATATATATATACACACACAAAAATTTATTTTTTTGGTGTACAGTTCTATAATTTTAACATATGTATAGATTCACATAAGCACTGCCACAATCAGGATTCAAAATAGTGCCATCACACCCCCAAAAACTCCCTCATGTTTTCCCTTTATAATCACAGCCTCTCCCACTCGTAACTCCTGACAACCACAGGTCTATCCTTCATCAGTATTTTATCTTCTCAAAAATGAGAAATACAGTACGTAAACTTCTGAGACTACTTCCTTCCCCCACCCTCCAGCATCATGCCTTGGAAAGTGCTCAGTTGCTGCATGTGTAAATAGTTCATTCCTTTCTACTGCTGAGTAGTATTTCATTGTATGGATATACCACAACTTCTTTATGCATTTACCTGTTCATTCACCTGTTGAAGGACATTTGCTTGGAGCAATTATGAATAAAACATCAAATAATCATAGAATTATCAATAGAACATTTATACACAGGTTTTTATGTGAGCATTAAGTTTTCATTTCTCTAGGAAGTGGGGTTTCTGGGTTATAAGACAAATACATGTTAACTTTGTAAGAAACTGCCAAACTTTTCCAGACTGGCTATACCATTTTTTATTCCCACTCACAATGTATAAGAATGGAAATAGAGCTTTGGGAAGCCGAGGCAGGCAGATCACAAGATCAGGAGATTGAGACCATCCTGGCTAACATGATGAAACCCCGTCTCTACTAAAAACACGAAAAATTAGCCAGGCACAGTGGCGGGTGTCTATAGTCCCAACTACTCAGGAGGCTGAGGCAGGAGAATGGCATGAACCTAGGAGGTGGAGCTTGCAGTGAGCCGAGATCACACCACTGCACTCCAGCCTGGGGGACAGAGCAAGACTCAGTCTCAAAAAGAAAAAAAAAAAAAAAGAATTGCAATAGAGAGAAGAATCAAATAGATGCAATAAAAAATGATATAGGGGATATCACCACTGATCCCACAGAAACACAAACTACCATCAGAGAATACTATAAACATTTCTATGCAAATAAACTCAGAAATCTAGAAGAAATGGATAAATTCCTGGACACATACACCCTCCCAAGTCTAAACCAGGAAGAAGTCAAATCCCTGAATAAACCAATAACAAGTTCTGAAATTGAGGCAGTAATTAATAGTCTACCAACCAAAAAAAGGCCAGGACCACACAGATTCACAGCTAAATTCTACCAGAGGTACAAAGAGGAGCTGGTACCATTCTTTCTGAAACTCTTCCAAACAACAGAAAAAGAGAGAATCCTCCCTAACTCATTGTATGAGGCCAGCATCATCCCAATGCCAAAACCTGGCAGAGACACAACAAAAAAAGAAAATTTCAGGCCAACATCCCTGATGAACATCCATGAGAAAATCCTCAGTAAAATACTGGCAAACTGAAACCAGCAGCATCAAAAACCTTATCACCATGATCAAGTCAGCTTCATCCCTGGGATGCAAGGCTGGTTCAACATATGCAAATCAATAAAGGTAATCCATCACATAAACAGAACCAATGACAAAACCACATGATTATCTCAATAGATGCAGAAAAGGCCTTCGACAAAATTCAACACCCTTCATGCTAAAAACTCTCAATAAACTAGGTTATCGATGGAACGTATCTCAAAATAATAAGAGCTATTTATGACAAACCCACAGCCAATATTATACTGAATGGGCAAAAACTGGAAGCATTCCCTTGAAAACCAGCACAAGACACGGATGCCCTCTCTCACCACTCCTATTCAACATAGTGTTGGAAGTTCTGGCCAGGGAAATCATGCAGGAGAAAGAAATAAAGGGTATTCAAATAAGAAGAGAGGAAATAAAATCATCTGTATTTGCAGATGACATGATTTTGATTTTATATTTAGAAAACCCCTTCATCTCAGCCCAAAATCTCCTTAAACTGATAAGCAACTTCAGCAAAGTATCAGGATACAAAATCAATGTGCAAAAATCACAAGCATTCCTATACACCAATAACAGACAAACAGAGAGCCAAATCATGAGTGAACTCCCATTCACAATTACTACAAATAAAATAAAATACCTAGGAATACAACTTACAAGGGATGTGAAGGACCTCTTCAAGGAGAACTACAAACCACTGTTCAAGGAAATAAGAGAGGACACAAGCAAATGGAAAAACATTCCATGCTCATGGGTAGGAAGAATCAGTATTGTCAAAGTGGCCATACTGCCCAAAGTAATTTATAGATTCAATCTATCTCCATCAAGCTACCACTGACTTTCTTCACAGAATTGGAAAAAACTACTTTAAACTTCATATGGAACCAAAAGACAGCCTGTATAGCCAAGACAATCCTGGGCAAGAAGAACAAAGCTGAAGGCATCATGCTACTTGACTTCAAACTATAATGCAAGGCTACAGTAACCAAAACAGCATGGTACTGGTACCAAAACAGATATACAGACCAATGGAACAGAACTAAGGCCTCAGAAATAACACCACACATCTGCAACCATCTGATCTTTGACAAACCTGACACAAACAAGCAATGGGGAAAAGATTCCTTATTTAATAAATGATGTTGGGAAAACTGGGTAGCCATATGCAGAAAACTGAAACAGGACCCCTTCCTTATACAAAAAATAACTCAAGATGGATCAAAGACTTAAACATAAGACCTACAACCATAAAAATCCTAGAAGAAAACCTGGGCAATACCATTCAGGACATAGGCATGGGCAAAGACTTCATGATTAAAACTAAAACACCAAAAGCAATGGCAACAAAAGCCAAAATTGACAAATGGGATCTAATTAAACTAAAGAGCTTCTGCACAGCAAGAGAAACTACCATCAGAGTGAACAGGCAACCTATAGAACGGGAGAAAATTTTTGTAATCTATCCATCTGACAAAGGAGTAATATCCAGAATCTACAAAGAACTTAAACAAATTTACAAGAAAAAAAAACCTCATCAAAAAGTGGCCAAAGGATATGAACAGACACTTCTCAAAAGAAGACATATATGCAGCCAACAGACATATGAAAAAATGCTCATCATCACTGGTCATTAGAGAGATGCAAATCAAAACCACAATGAGATACCATCTCACGCCAGTTAGAATGGTAATCATTAAAAAGTCAGGAAACAACAAATGCTGGAGAAGATGTGGAGAAATAGGAACACTTTTACACTGTTGGTGGGACTGTAAATTAGTTCAACCATTGTGGAAGGCAGTGTGGCGATTCCTCAAGAATCTAGAACTAGAATTACCATTTGACCCAGCAATCCCACTTCTGGGTATATACCCAAAGGATTAAACATCATTCTACTATAAAGACACATGTACACGTATGTTTATTGTGGCACTATTCACAAGAGCAAAGAGTTGGAACCAACTCAAATGTCCATCAATAATAGACTGAATAAAGAAAATGTGGCACATATACACCATGGAATACTATGCAGCCATAAAAAAGGATAAGTTCATGTCCTTTGCAGGGACATGGATGAAGCTGGAAACCATCATTCTCAGCAAACTATCACAAGGACAGAAAACCAAACACCGCATGTTCTCACTCATAAGTGGGAGTTGAACAATGAGAACACATGGACATAGGAAGGGGTACATCACACACCAGAGCCTGTCGGGGGGTAGGGGGCTAGGGGAGGGATAACATTAGGATAAATACCTAATGTAGGTGATGGGTTGATGGGTGCAGTAAACCACCATGGCACATGTATCCCTATGTAACAAAACTGCACGTTCTGCACTTGTACCCCAGAACTTAAAGTATAATAATAATAAAAAAAAAATGTAATTGCTCTCAACAGTTCTTGGTATTACCAAAGGTTTTCCTTTTTTCAGCAATTCTAATAGGTGTATTTGGTTTGTTTACAAGTCTCTAATGCTTAATGATATTGAACATCTTTTTGTGTTTTATTTGCCATTTATATATTCTGCAAAGTCTTGTGACATATGTGACTTGCAAAGTTTTTCTCCTGGGCTATACTGTTTTCATTCTTTTAATAGCATCTTAAGTCTTTTAATTTCAATAAAGACCTATTTATCAACTTTTTCGGATCGTGCTTATAGTACCGTGTCTAAGAACTCTTTTCCTAATCCCAGGAAGAGATTTTCTACTATGTTCTTTTCTGAACTTTTTAGAGCTTCACTTTTACATCTCATCAATATTGAGTTCATTTGTATACAAGCTGTAAGGTTTCAGTTTTCTTGTTTGTCTGTTTTGTTTATGTGAATGTTCAGTTGTTCTAACATCATTTGTTGAAAATATGATCCTTTACTGAATTACCCTTGCACCCTTGTCAAAAATCACATGGCCATATTTAAGCAGTTATCTTTCTGGACTCGATTCTGTTCCATTGAGCTCTGTGTTCCCAGGCAATACCATACTGTCCTGATTACTGTAACTTTGTAGTATGTTTTAAAACTGGGTAGCATGTTTCCTACACCATTATTCTTATTTTTCAAAGTTGTTTTAGCTATTCAAGTCCTTGGACTTTCCATGTAAACATTAGAATCAGCTTGTCTATAGCAACAATATGTCCTGGTGAGATTTTGACTGGAATTGTTTTAAATCTCTATATCAGTTTTGGCAGAATTGGCAACTTTTTAAAGTTAAGTCTTCCAATCTTCAAATATGGTGTTTCTTGTTATTTGTTTATATCTTCTTTGAGTATTTTCACTGGTATTTTGTAGCTTTCAGTAAGATGTTTATCTATTTCATTTTTTGGTATTCTATGTGGTACTGGTTTTCAATTTTCCTATCCAATTCCACATTTCTGGTTGTGATGGTTAATTTTTTTTTTTTTTTTTTGAGACGGAGTCTCACTCTGTTACCCAGGCTGGAGTGCAGTGGCACGATCTCAGCTCACTGCAAGCTCCGCCTCCCGGGTTCACACCATTCTCCTGCCTCAGCCTCCTGAGTAGCTGGGACTACAGGCGCCCGCCACTACTCCCAGCTAATTTTTTTGTATTTTTAGTAGAGATGGGGTTTCCCCATGTTTGCCAGGATGGTCTCAATCTCCTGACCTTGTGATCCACCCGCCTCGGCCTCCCAAAGTGCTGGGATTATAGGCGTGAGCCACCACGCCCAGCCTTGAGGTTAATTTTATGTGTCAACTTGGCCATGCCATGGTAGACAGTTTGGGCTCAAACACCAGTCTAGATGATGCTGTGAAGAAATGTTTTAGATGTGATTAACACTTAAATCAATCAACTTTGAGTAAAGCAGATGACCCCCCATAATGTAAGTGGACCTCACCCAATCAGTTGTAGGCCTTGAGAAGAGAGACTGAGGTTCCTTGGAAAAGAGGGAGTTCTACCAGCAGACGGCCTCCAGGCATGAGCTGCAACATCAGCTCTTCCTTGGGTCTCCACCATGACAGCCTGCTCTGTAGAATTCAAATTTGCCAGCCCCTACAATCACACAAGCAAATTCATTAAAACTAACCAATCTCTCTCTGCCTCGCTCTTTTTAAACACACACACACACGTGTGTGTGTACCTCTCACATATATACGTGTGTGTGTGTGTATCCTATTGGTTCTGTTTTCCTAGAGAACCCTAATATGCTGATGTATAAAAATACAATTGATTTGTTTGTGTGTGTGTGTTAACCTTATATCCTGCAAACTTGTTAAACTCACTTATTAGTCCTAAGAGGTCTTTGCAAACTCATTGGGTCTTTGACATAAACAATCATGTACACTATGAACAAGAACTGTCCTCTCCAGGGTGGGGTGGGCACCAGGTTAAGAGTTAGGCATCTCCTTGAGATGTCCTTATTTGCTTAGGTCCTGCATGAAAGCACATAGTGCCCTAGCTCTTTTGAAAAGCAGGAAAATCCTGAAAGAAAGCAACACAGAGCTTTCTCCATTGTGAGGTAGTGAGGAGGGGATTAGGACACTAGGTGAGAAAGGACAGGCCTAGACAATGAAGCAAGGGGCGAGTGGGTGGATGGGTAAAACCACCTGCTCCTCAAAACAGCCAGGCTCTGAGATGAAGCAGGAATCTGCACTTAAACCGAGGCTGGATCCATCCTAGGGATTCAAGTGAGTCTGGCATTTTGACAGGAATCCCAGTGGAAGTCTTTTTGTGGAGTGAAGGGCGGGGGTGAGTTGCAAAATTTTCTGGACCAGAACTTATTGTAGGAAAAGAAGAATTGAAGCTGGGTATGGGCTCCTGCTTATGGTCCCAGCTACTCAGGAGGCTGAAGCAGGGGGATTGCTTGAGCCCAGGAGGCTGTGGTGTGCTATGATCACACCTGTGAATAGCTGCTACGCTCCAGCGTGGGTGAGAGAGCAAGACCCCATGTCTAAGAAAAGAAAGGAAAGAATTCAGGCACTGTGAGGTAACCTAGGAACAAAGCTTCAAAACATTCTGAGTACAACAGAAAAAAAGAAGTTTTACTTAAAGTCCATAAAATCCTGGGACATTAGCAACCTTTTTTGGAAACCCCTCTCTTAAACTGTAACTCTAGGGAGACAGAGGTTCCCATAGACCAACAGAGCACATGGCCCCAGTGCCCAGCAGAGCAACGTGGAGCTGCAGAGTCCTGTGGGGGCTAATTTGTACACAAGCACATGTAACACCCCCACAGGAGCCCAGACTTTTCTTCTGTCTTGTTGCAGACTTTCAAAGAGCTAGAGACCCTGTCAAATCATGGGGGTGCAAAAACCCATGCAATTGAGGGGTTTTAACTCATGGTATGCTGTTTCTGCAGGCCTGTGTTGTCAAGCGAAAACAGAAAAGAGAAGGGAATTCCACCTTTGCCCACTGAGAACACATCTATGCTGAGAACACATCTACCCAACTCCTCTGTCACAACCCCTGTGAGAAGGTTCTGCCATCTCCCAGCCCTGAAGATTGTGAGGTCATCTGACCACTTATTACATTGCTAAACATGGCAGGATGTCACCTGACTCGACACTAAGCTGCCCATCAATCATCACATCCCCTTTCTCCCACTTACTTTTCTATCACCCCGTAGATTCCCAACAGCTGTCCTTAAGTCCTCCAGGCTACAGAAACCACTCTTGAAACAATATGTCAGCATACCATTAGTGCCCTTTAACTCATACCCTCACTTCCCAGCCCCTCCTCTGTGAACGAAGTCTCTCCTTACCTCTTCCTCCAGCACTAATCAATCTAATGTTCCTTCACTCTTTTCTCCCCTCCCAGCTTCCCTCCAACCTGCACCCAATCCCCCCAAATCCTTTCTCCTCTTTCTTTGCAATTCTCCACACCAAGACTGAACACTTGTCAGAAATGGTGCTCCCCCTGGGCCCCTCCACACCTCCTGAAGCCCAATCCCTGTCACTTCTTACCACCCCCAGCTCCCTGATGGCCCTGGGCCTCCCTCCCGACAGCTGAGGCCCTTCCTGGATCTCTACACGTCACCAAGCTAAGCCAGTGTTCCAAAATAGTCTCCTGAACAATGATGACAACTGCACAGTTATTTTGGAAGGTAAGTGTGGCCAGAGTCCCAGAACAATGCAGGAAAGACAATGGGATGGTGGGCAGCAGGTAGCCTGGCCAGCTCTGTTTGTGCAGATGAATTCAGGAGCCTGGCATTTCCTTGAAGGATGACCAGAGAATGGATGAGCTCTCAGGATCACACTGAGACCAGGTCCCTAATGCTCCTAATCCCTTAGGACACAAGGACCTGAAAGACATAGAAACTGCTTCTCTGAAAATTGGCTTGATTATTCTCCCAAAGTTGACCAGGATCCAGAGCTTAGATTGCAGGAGGTCAGGGCATATGCTGAGGCCTAGCTGTCTTCAAGCTGCAGTTTCCAAGATAGCCCAGAATAGAGTCCAATCAATATACGGCAATATATTTCTTCTTTGTTTTCTGTAAGTTTTATAAAAACACACATATAGAAATGTACATAAGTTTACAGCTCAGTGGATTTTCACAAAGTGAACACACCCTCAAAACCAGCACCCAGATAAAGAGAATACAACAAAAACAGCAGAGGGCCTCCTCACCCCTACTTCCAGCCAATACCCCATCCCCTACCCCAGGATAAATGCAATCCCAGCTTCTAACATTGTGCATTGGTTTTGCCTGTTCTTTGAACTTTCTGTAGCAGTTATAGAGTATGTACACTTCTGTGATTGGCTCATTTCAGCCAACATAATGTCTGTGAGATTCATCCTTCTTGGATATAGTTCCAGTTAATTCATTATCATTATTATATTGCATTCAATAAATATTACTACAATTCATTCATCCATTCTATTCTCCGGTATTTGGGTAGTTTGCAGTTTGAGGGCATAAGTAGTAGAAGTATTGTGAATATTCTAAGACATGTTTTCGTTAAACATATATGCAGCTCTGTTGGGTACAGTATAGGCCTTGGAGTGGAATTACAGTTCTCAGAAACAAAAGAAAATAAATTCAAGTTTGATATAGACCTGATTGTTGCAAGACATAGATTCCCTGATTGTAGTGAACCTGAGTTGGCCATGAGCAGTGGAAGGAGTGTGCTTGTTAAAAGGACAAATATGATGCTGGGAGACATGTACAAATCTCAAGAGATTATTCAGGGAAGCACCAGATTTATTTTAAATGATGGGAAGAGGTGTCAAATAAAGGTTATAAAAACATTCCAGTAAATAAGGCCAATGGTGGGTTGATAATATCTTCAAAGAACATGTTTAGGATCATACGGTTCTTCTTCATTCTTCTCTGCAGAACTTCCTGGCAGTGATGGCAGTGGAACATTGGAAACAGAGATGAACAGGAGGTGGGAAGAGGAGGCTAAGTACATGTAGGCCTAAAAGTCTCTGCCTTGGGAGATTTTTAACAGTCCTGGATGGAGGTAAGGAGGCAGGCGTGATTCTAAGATCTCAAGGAAAGGAGATTCTATGTCACTCTTCTCTTCCCTTGGCCCTCAGACTGTTTACGAACAAAATAATTTCATCAATTATTTCATTATTTCATTATAGCAGATCCCCTCACTGAGACTTCCAAAGATTTTTATCAACAATTTTATGTCACTCCCACTAACTCTTTGAAGGTAAATGGCAGAATTAATTTTCCCGTTTAAAAAACAGAAACACAAAGACCCAGTGGAGTCTGCATTTTCTAGTTTTAGTCAGCCATTCTGGAAGCTGCGTCCTGGTAACCGCAGTGTCCCAGCTGTGAACTCCGGGCAAGTGTACAGCATCATCTTCCATTCACCATGTGGTTACTGCACTTCTCATACAAACTACCTGCGTTACTCAGTTATCCAGTATCAAGGACTATGCCACACTCCTTAGAGCAGATGCAGGGCACTTAGAGATTAATAAAACAGGCCGAGCACAGCCTGTAACCCCAGCACTTTGGGAGCCTGAGATGGAAGAACTGCTTGAGCCCAGGAGTTCAAGACCAGCCTCGGCAACATAGTGAGACCCCCATCTCTACTAAAAATAAAAAATTAGCCTTGCATGGTGGCACCTTCCTGTGGTCCCAGCTACTTGGGAGGCTGAGATGGGAGGATCCCTTGAGCTCAGGTGGTTGAGGCTGCAGTGAGTTGTGACTGTGCCACTGCACACCAGCCTGGGCAACAGAGCAAGACTCTGTCTCAAAAAAATTAATTAATTAAATAAAAATAAAAATAAAACCCTTTTAGAGTTCAAGTCTTAATTGCCATATGGCTTTGAGCAACTTATTTTATCTCACTGTGCCTCCATTTCCTAGACCTGGAAACGAAAATAAGAGAGAATGAAATTTAAACAGCTTCTCAGAAGAGTATGTAAGTTAAGCCACATAAAACATATAAATAAATATCTGTCACTTAGTAGCCACTCAGCACATGGTAATTACAAAGCATGGTGCCATAAGAAGTTGCTGGGGAGGCAGACATGTAAATGAATGCAGAAAATATATGAGGAATACTAAAATACAAATTAAAGTGTCCTGTGGCTTTTTCATCCACATAGATGAGTGTCAAAGCTACTATCTCTCTGGGAGGATCATGGCAGACAGGAGGCAGGTCTAGATTGCAGCTCCCACTCAGATGGACAGAGCAGCATGTGGAGTATTGCATCATGAACTTTTGCTCCAGAATGACTGCAGGAAGAAATCAGGAAAGCCAAGAGAACCCACAGACCCTCTGAGGGAAGTGAATTGCTCCTGCAGGACCTGGGAGACACCCCAAACACCATGAGTGCCCAAACTATGGAAGTCGGAAAGGGGCATCGTTCACCCCCAAACACACAACCTCACTGGGGAACCGCAAGATCTAGATCACTGGAGAAGATTCTGACATTACCTGGAGCTGAGTCAATTTAGAGAGCCGAGTGAAATGCAGGGGTAGAGGAAGCAGTGGGAAAATCCCTGTGGGCTCTCTGGGTGACCTAGCAATCCATTTCTGCCTTGCCTCCCAGGGGTCATTGGGGAGGGCTACCAGAGGCACTGGGAAAAGGCCACAGGGAGAAGGAAGCCTCCAGCTGAACTTTGTAACAATTCCAACTGAACAAGAAGTCTCCTGGCCAGAACTACAGGGAGGGCGTGAATCCTGTGTGCAGACCACAGGCAGGGAAGCACGAAGGGTTCACAGCTCTCACAGCTGGGCGGCTGGTAGCCTGGGGCAAGCTCTCAGCCCTGCTTGCCCACTGCCCTGGACACAGACTTGGTGCTGTTGAGCAGGGAATGGTGAGAGTGAGACTGGCCCTTTGGGTTGTGAGGGAGCTGGGTGAGGCCTGTGATTGCCAGCTTTCCCTCACTTCCCTGACAACCTGCATGACACATCAGAGGCAGCATAATCCTCCTAGGAACATAACTCCATTGACCTGGGAACCACACCTCCATCTCCCACAGCAGCCACAGCCACACCTCCATCTCCCACAGCAGCCACAGCAAGACCCACTCAAGGAGAGTCTGAACTCAGACATGCCTAGCGCTGCCCCCACTTAATGGTCCTTCCCTACCCACCCTGCTAGCTGAAGACAAACAGCGTATACTCTTGGGAGTTCTAGGGCCCCACCCACCACCTGATCCCTCCCATACTACCATAGCTGATGCTCTCTGGAAAGTGCCACCTCCCAGCAGGAAGCCAGCCAACTCAAAAACAGTGCATTAAACCACCAAGACTAAGGACCCTCACAGAGTCCATTTCACCCCCCTGCCACCTCCACCAGAGCAGGCATTGGTATCCACAGCTGAGAGACCCACAGATGGTTCATATCACAAGACTCTGTACAGACAACTCCCAGTGCCAGCCCAGAGCCTGGTAGACCTGTTGGGTGACTAAATTCAGAAGAGAGATAATACTCACGACAGCTCAGATCTCAGGAAGCCACATCCCTAGGAAAAGGGGGAGAGTACTACATCAAGGGAACACCCTGTGGGACAAAAGAATCTGAACAACAGCCTTGAGCCCTAGACCTTCCCTCCGACAGAGCCTACCCAAATGAGAAGGAACTAGGAAACCAACTCCGGTAATATGACAAAACAAGGCTCTTTAATACCCTCCAAAAAATCACACTAGCTCACCAGCAATGAATCCAACCAAAAAAAAATCCCTGATTTACCTGAAAAAAAATTCTTAAGGTCAGTTATTAAGCTAATCAAAGAGGTGCCAGAAAAAGGAAAAGCCCAATTTAAGGAAATAAAAAAAAAATACAGAAAGTAAGGGGAGAAATTTTCAATGAAATAGGTAGCATATAGTAAAAAGTAATCAAAACTTCAGGAACCAACGGATGTAGTTATAGAAATTCAAAATGCTCTGGGAAGTCTCAGCAATAGAAGCGAATGAGCAGGAGAAAGAACCTCAGAGTTCAAACACAAGGTTTTCAAAATAATCCAACAAAAACAAAGAAAAAAGAATAAGAAAATATGAACAAAGCCTCCAAGAAGTCTGGGATTATGTTAAATGACCAAACCAAAGAATAATCGGCATTCCTAAGAAGAAGAGAAATCTAAAAGTTTGGAAAACATATTAGGGTATCCACTACTGGGTATCTACCCAGAGGAAGTCATTACATGAAAAGGATACTTGCACACATATGTTTATAGCAGCACAATTCTCAGTTGTAAAAATGTGGAACCAACCCATATGCCCATCAATCAATGAGTGGATAAAGAAACTGCAGTATACATATACGATGGAATACTACTCAGCCATAAACAGGAATGAATTAATGGCATTCACAGCAACCTGGATGAGATCGGAGACCATTATTCTAAGTGAAATAACTCAGGAATGGAAAAGCAAACATTGTATGTTCTCAATCATATGTGGGAGCTAAGCTATGAGGATACAGAGACATAAGAATGACACAGTGGACTTTGGGGACTCAGGGAGAAAGGGTGGGAAGGGAGTGATGGATAAAAGACTACAATTTGGGTGCAGTGTATACTGCTCGGGTGATGTGTGCACCAAAATCTCACAAATCACCACTAAAGATCTTACTCATGTGGCTGGGCGCAGTGGCTCATGCCTGTAATCCCAACACTTTGGGAGACCGAGGCAGGTGGATCACGAGGTCAGGAGATCGAGACCATCCTGGCTAACATGATGAAACCCATCTCTACTAGAAATACAAAAAATTAGCTGGGTGTGGTGGTGGGCCCCTGTAGTCCCAGCTACTCAGGAGGCTGAGGCAGGAGAATGGCATGAACCCGGGACGCGGAGCTGGCAGTGAGCCGAGATCGCGCCACTGCACTCCAGCCTGGGCGACAGAGCAAGACTCCGTCTCAAAAAAGAAAAAAAGAAAGATCTTACTCATGTAACAAAACACCACCTGCTCCCCAATAACCTATGGAAATAAAATAATTTTTTTAAAAAAAAGAATCTAGGCTGGGCATGGTGGCTCACGTCTGTAATCCCAGCACTTTGGGAGGCCAAGGCGGGTGGATTACCTGAGGTCAGGAGTTTGAGACCAGCCTGGCCAACATGATGAAACCCTGTCTCTACTAAAAATACAAAAATTAGCCAGGCGTGGTGGCACACACCTGTAGTCCCAGCTACTCAGGAGGCTGAGGCAGGAGAATGGCATGAACCCGGGAGGCAGAAGTTGCAATGAGCCGAGATCGTGCCACTGCACTCCAGCCTGGCCGACAGAGTGAGACTGTGTCAAAAAAAAAAAAAAAAAAAGAAAGAAAGAAAAGAAAAAGAAACTAATAGGGAAAAACAGCTAGTATCACTCTTACATGAGATCTTTAGGCATTATACAGTAAGACTGTCTCAATCTCAGTAAGAACTAAGTAAATAAATAAAATAACAGACTTTTGTGCATCCAAAACTTTCAGGCAAAGATTGTAAGTTCTCTAGCATCATTATATGCCCAGGTTATATTTCTCAAGCCTTACTTGTTCCTTCCACACATTAACATTTCAGAATTATATTTCATTTATAACAGGTATTCTCTAGGCTCACTAACCTGACAGGGTTAATATCAAAAAATAAAAACAAAAATAATGGCATTTAAATAAAAATAGCCTCTGGCTTGAGCCCATCCTAGCAACCACAGTGAAATTCCAGCTTCCCCCAAATCTTCTCAGAGTTCTTGGATGGCCTGAGAATGATCCCCACAGCCTCTAGACGCTACCTGCAATGTTCTTTGCAAGGAGCTCCCCTCTTCCCTTCAATTGGTTCCACCTCTGTCTACAAAGCTGCTTTCCTTTCTCTCTTATGGCTCACTTTACTGATACTGAACTCCTTGCTTCCCAATATTGAGATCTGCTGTGTCCTGGGGCTGGGGCTGTACCTCTCCCGTATCACTCCCCTGCTCTTGTCACCATCAGCGCTTCTGTCCTGAGCTACAAGCCCTCAGCTAAGCCACAGCATGCAAGTGCATGTTTCAGTCTACAGGCAGAGCTGGAGGCCGCTTGCTCCAAAAGAGAACATCCACTTTACTTTCTTACCTTGCTGCATCCACAAGAGGGAGCCTCGTGCCAGCTTCTCCAGCCAGGATGGTAGCCCCCAAGACTCTTCCTCTTCCATCCACCTTTAGGTGCAGCATCCAACAAGGTCAAAATCACAATGTCTTGCATCTAACAAAAAATTACCAGGCATAAAAAAAAAAAAAAAAAAAAAACAGGAAAATATGACCCTTAATATAAAGGAAAAAAACATGAAAAACAACCCAGAAATGACACAGACTATAGAATTAGTGGAAATAGTTATTATAATTGTATCCTATATGATATATAGTGTATATATATATGTAATTGATATATAATTGTATCAAAAATTTAGAAGACTGAACGTGTTGGTAGATCTATAGAAGATGTTTTTTAAATACCCAAATTGAACTTCTGAAATTAAAACTATAATGTCTAACATGAAAACACATTGGATGAGATTAACAGCAGATTAGACACTAAGAAGAAAAGATTTGTGAACTTAAAGACAGCAATAAAAGCCATCCAAATTGAAATACAAAGAGAAAAAAAAAAATGAAAAGAAACGAGAAGAGCATCAGGGCATTGTGGGACAACTTCAATCAGTCTAAAAAATGAAAAGATGCTTCCAAATGTAAAAAAGAATCCTTTAAATTGTCAAAGAGCCCATCAGAATTTTTAACAGCTCTATTAGAAAAAAAATTCATTTTGCTGCTTAAGTTCCAGCAGGCCAATCTTTGTGATGAATCCCTTGGGATGTTGCCAATCCAGACAGGCAGCTCTTAAGGTGACATACCAGTCATCCAGGGACTTACCATCATGTCAGTCATTTTGTTACTGTTTTTAATAATGTAAAATACTTGACCAATGAGGATTCCTTCCAGAAATGCAAAAGTTATCCAACAATAGGAATCCTATCTACACAAATCATTACATTTATAAAGAAGAAAGCCCACATGATTTTATGAATTAATGTATAAAGGTGTTTCTCTAATATTTAACAGCATTCTAATAAAAAGTTTAACTAACATAGGAATAGACAGAAGCTACCTAAACAAGACGAAAACTGTTTACCAAAACAGAATTCTATTTTTAATCATGATGGAATAATAGAGACTAGAAGTACCTTCCCTCCTTGCACAACTAAAAGCTGGACAAAATATATCAAGTGAAAGTTTTCAGACATTGGACAACAGGCAGTGCAAGACTGTGATCCCTGAGAGAAAGACAAGTGAGATGAGCCTGCAAGTACCCCCAGCTCACTGCCTGGAGAATTTCCAGGCTGATCACAGAAAAAAGAAACCAAAACAGGAGTCCAACAGTCTCACTGATTAAGGAGACAAAGTTCAGAGTTCCAGCAGGGCAAAATGAGAAAAATCTGTGAGGCAAAGTATCAGAGAAAAAGTACTGCAGAGAGTGAGGGTTCCAGAGATCTTCAGAGCAGTCCCTCAAGACTTGGGCTGAGTACTGCTATGTGCTTGTGTAAGGAGACTACTGAGGCTGGGGAAAGAACAGCAGAGAAGAGTAGGCAGAACAATTTCAGGAGTTCACACAGGACCAGAAATAGTGTTTTCCCTAGCCGGTTTGGGAAGATCTCCTAATACGGTGGGGCATTGGGTACAGTTCTCAAAAGCAAATTGCCTCAGTGGGGCCAAATTAGCCCTCAGTGTAAAAGTAAAGTACCTAAAGGGATGTTTAGAAATCCAGCACCCAATAACATAATGTGTACAATGTCTGGCATTCAATAAAATATTACCTAGTATGCAAATAAGCAGGAACATAAGACCCAGTACCAGAAAAAAAAAAATCATTCTATAAACATAGACCTATATATGACTCAGATGTTAGAATTTGTAGGCAAGGACATCAAAACAAGAATTATAAATTCACTCCATATGTTCAAGAAGTACAAGAAAGCATGAGTATAGTCGGGAGAAAAATGAAATGCCTAACTAAACTTCTAGAAATGAAAAATACAATAACTAAGCTGAAAAATACATTGGCAGGATTAACAGCAGATTAAATGCTACAGGAGAAAAGATTTGTGAATTTGAAGATATAGCAATAGGAACTATGCAAATTAAACATTGAGAGAAAATATAAGCCAGAAGAAAACTAAACAAAGCATCAATAAGTTGTGGGACAATATCAAGTAGCCTAACATATACATAACTGGAGTATCCAGAAGAGGGGAGGAAAATAATACTTGAAAAAAATGGCCATTTTTTTTCCAAATTTAATGAAAATAAACCCACATGTATTAGTCAGAGTTCTACAAAGAAACGGAAGGAATAGGATATATATATATATAGTATTTATATTAGTATTATACTATATATATTTTATACATATAAAATATATTGCAGGTGTGAGCCACCATACCCAGTATATGTATTATTTATATATGTAAATATGTAGTATTTTACTAATATAAATATATTGGCAACATATAACTATATTTACATATATAAATATATTAGAGGGAGAGAGAGATTTATATGAAGAATTGGCTCACACGGTTATGAAGGCCAAAAAGTGCCATGATCTGCCATCTGCAAGTCAGAGACCCAGGAAGACCAGTGCTGTAATTCAGCCAGTGGTTGGGTCCATCCAGAAGCACTCTCATGGACACAGCAAAAATTATGTTTAACCTGTGCACCCCATAGCCCAGTCATGTTGACACATAAAATTTATTATCACAAGTCTACCCTTTGTCAACTTGGCACCCATACACATCTCCTCAAACCAAACTTATTCTCCAAATAAAAATAATAGGTCATAATTCCACCTACCTTAATACTACCCTGGATACAATAAAAAACACAGTAACTTATTTCCCAGATGAGGAGGTAAAATCCTTGAAACATGTTTACTCTTTGATATACTATAACACTTGGCTGGGTGCAGTGGCTCACACCTGCAATCCCAGCACTTTGGGAGGCCAAGGCAGGCAGATCACTTGAGCTCAGAAGTTCAAGACCAGCCTGGGCAACATGGTGAAACACCAACTCTATAAAAAAAAATACAAAAATTAGCCAGGCACGGTGGTGTGTGCCTGTAGTCCCAGCTACTTGGAATGCTGAGGTGGGAGGATGGCTTGAGCCCAGGAGGCGGAGGTTGCAGTGAGCCAAGATCGTGCCACTGTACCACAGCCTGGGTAACAGAGCCAGACTCTGTCTCAAAAAAAAAAAATTAAATTAAAAATACTTAAATACTATGATATAAAATATTATAAATACACCTTATGTTACATGATAAGGGAATAAGAGTGGAAGGATAACAAAGATTCACACACAAATGTGTTTACAGCAAAATAAGGAGAAAATAGACATGGCAATTACCATCTTTGTTTCTGTAACTGGCCACATGGTCATGGCTGGTATTTACAACTACCTTTTCCCACTACCCATTCTGTATTCCCATTGCCTTCAGCAAGTACCTCAGCTTTATCTGGTAGGGTGACTTCAACTTTTATTCCTGAAGGGTTTGAGCCATTTGTAGCCCTGCCTGGTCGGGCTGTAGTTTTCTATTGACATAAAACACAGGGCATGGTAATACTAAAGATACCCTAAGGAATTTCCTGTATTCTGGATATACTTACTCTTCCTTAACTCCATTGTGGAATAGTAGTCCAATTTCCCCCTTGGTAGTCAGGACCAATCATCCCAGCCAACACTGTAACTCCCTTCTTTACCTATTAATTGAGAAATATGAGGATCCCAAAGTGGCCAGGTGGAAGTCTTAACTTTCAGTTCTTGGGATCATTATTGTGTCTCCTGGTGGAAATATCCCTTCCTTATGGAAATATCCCTTCCTCTAGAACTAAGAACTCTAGGTCAGCAAAGCATAAAGTCAGGAACAGGAAACAAAAATTTTGCTAGTGGGTCACTCGGGGTAATAGTGAGTGGTGCCACTCCCACTTTTGTCTTTTGATCTCTTGACCTGTGAATGCTACTTGCTGTAGGAGAAACAAGATCTTATATTGGACACTGATTCATAGCATATACAGCCTTCTGAGGAACTTCACTCCACCCCTGCAAGAAATTGCCACCTAGCTGATGTCATAACTGAGACTTCAAAATGCTATTCCACTGTTTTATCAAGCCAATTGCTTCAGGATGATGGGGAAGATAATCAGACCAGCAAATTCCACGAGCATGGGTCCGTTGCTCTGTTTCTTTTGCTGTAAAGTGAGTTCCTTGATCAGAAACAATGCAATGTGGAATACTACAATGATGAATAAAGCATTCTATAAGCCCATGGATGGTAGTTTTGGCAGAAGCATTGTGTGCAGGGAAGACAAAACAATATCCAGAGTAAGTGTCTATTACATTAAGAACAAACAGTGTCCCTTCTATGATGAAAATGTCCCCACATAATCAACCTACCACCAGGTGGCTGTGTGATCACCCTAGGGACTTGATGTTGGTCTCTGCTCAATGTTGGCCATATCAGGGACTCAATGTTGCTCTCTGCTGTTGGCAGATTGGACTTTCAGCAGTAACTGTAAGCCAGATTGGCCTTGTTGAGTGGAAGTCCACGTTACTTCCCCAAGCATAACCGCTATCACTGCCATCATGGTCACTTTGTTCATGAGACCATTAGGCAATGACAGAGGTAGCTGGGAAAAAAGGGTGACCAGTATCCACAGAATGGGTCATCTTGTCCACTTGATTATTAAAATTCCCTTTGTGAGTATTCACATGGGACACAAATATCACCATGTGTTTTGCCCACTCAGAGAAGTCTGTCCATATACCTCTTCCTTAAATTTGTCACCAATTTTCCAATCATGTTCCTCTCAATTCCCTGAACATCCAGCCAAACCATTGGCCACAGTCTGTACTGATATATAATCACAGGTCTGGCCATTTCTTCTTCCAATAAAAGTGTACAATCAGATGCTCTGCTCAAAGTTCTGACCAGTAAGAGGATTTCCCTTCACAGCTGTCTTTCAGGGATATCCCAGTAAGAGGTTCTAGTACTGCAGCTGTCGTGTCTGCATATTGTGCAGAACCATCTGCAAACCAGGCCTGAGTCTTCTCCTATCGATTGATCATAGGGAACTCCTGGTAACACCAAAGGTGCAGGCAGTGAGAGAGAAGGCAGTGTTGCAAAAGTAGATACCATGAGCATTTGGGTCACTTTTTCATGTAACTTACATGTGCCTTCAGGGCCTATTCCAACCAGATCATGTATGTACTATTTCCATTTGATGATGGAGTGCTGTGTATGCCAAATTTTATGACTTGGTGGATCAGATAACAGTCAGTTCATGATGGGCAGCTCAGGTTGCATGGTAACTTGGCAGCCAATGGTCAAACATTCAGTCTCTACTAAGGCCCAGTAGCAGACCAAGAATTGTCTTCCAAAAGACACTCCTGCAAGAATGGCCATAATAAAAAAAACAGTAGTCGTTGGCATGGATGCAGTGAACCAGGAACACTTCCGCACTGCTGGTGGGAATGTATACTAGTACAACCACTATGGAAAACAGTGTGGAGATTCCTTAAAGAACTAAAAGTAGAATTATCATTTGATCTGGCAATCCCACTACTAGGTATCTACCCAGAGGAAAAGAAGTCGTTATTTGAAAAAGATACTTGCACATGCATGTTTATAGCAGCATAATTTACAACTGCAAAATTGTGGAACCAACTCAAATACTGATCAATGAGTGGATAAAAAAAACTGTGGTTTTTTATACGTATACATATGTGCGTGTGTGTGTGTGTGTGTGTGTGTGTGTGTGTGTGTGTATGATGGAATACTACACAGCCATGAAAAGGAATGAATTAACAGCATTTGCAGTGACCTGGATGAGACTGGAGATTATTATTCTAGTGAAGTAACTCAGGAAGGGAAAACCAAACATCATATGTTCTCACTGATATGTGGGAGTTAGCTATGAGGATGCGAAGGCATAGAATGATACAATGGACTTTGGGGGCTTGGGGAGAAAAGTAGGAGGGGGTCAAGGGATAAAAGACTACAAATATGGTGCAGTGTATACTGCTCGGGTGATAAGTGCACCAAAATCTCACAAATCACCACTAAATAACTTACTCGTGTAACCAAATACCACCAGTACCCCAATAACTTATGAAAAAAAAAATTTTTAAAGATAAGACAGCAATAGCCAAGTGGGTTTCATACCAGGGATGCAGGGATATACAAGTCAATAAATGTGATATTATGCCCAGTAAACAGAATTAAAAACAAAAATCATATTATTATCCCAATCAATGCAGAAAAAGCATTTGACAAAATTCAGCATTGCTTTATGATTAAAACCCTCAGAAAAATTGGCATGGAAGGGACATACCTCAAGGTAATAAAAGCTATCTATGACAAACCGACAGCTAACATACTCAACAGGGAAAAGTTGAAAGCATTCCCCCTGAGAACTGGAACAAGCCAAGGATGCTCACTTTCACCACTTCTATTCAACATAGTACTGGAAGTCCTAGCCAGAGCAATCAGACATGAGAAAGAAATAAAGGGCATCCAAATCAGTAAAGAGGAAGTCAAACTGTTGCAGTTCACTGATGATAAGATTGTATACCTAGAAAACTCTGAAGACTCATCCAAAAGGCTCCTAGATTGGATAAATGAATTCAGTAAAGTTTCAGGATACAAAAATCAATGTTCATAAGTCAGTAACACCACTATATACCAACAACGACCAAGGTGAGAAACAAATCAAGAACTCAATCCCTTTTACAACAGCTGCCATATATATATATATATAAAATATATTATATATATGTATAATATATATATTATATATATTCAGCATCGCTTTATGATTAAAACCCTCAGAAAAATTGGCATGGAAGGGACATACCTCATGGTAATAAAAACTATCTATGACATATATATATATATACACACACATATATCCAAGGAGGTAAAAGACCTCTACAAGGAAAACTACAAAACACTGCTGAAAGAAATCACTGATGACACAAACAAATGGAAACTGACATTTGTATATATGTATATATACAAAATTAGCCAGGTGTGGTGGCAGGTGCCTGTAATCCCAGCTACTTGGGAGGCTGAGGCAGGAGAATCGCTTAAACCTGGGAGGCAGAGGTTGCAGTGAGCCGAGATCTCACCATTGCACTCCAGCCTGGGCAACAGCCTGGGCTGTGTAGTATTCCATCATATATATATATATATATATATATATATATATATATATATATACACACACACACACATACACACACACACACACATGCACACACACACGCACACACACACACACACATATATATACGTATATATACAAATGGAAACATGACAAAACTCATGGATGGGTAGAATCAATATGGTGAAAACGCCCATACTATCAAAAGCAATCTACATATTCAGTGCAACTCCCATCAAAGTACCATCATCATTCTTCACAGAACTAGAAAAAAAATTCTAAAATTCATATGGAACCAAAAAGGACCCCACATAGCCAAAGCAAGACTAAGCAAAAAAAATCTGGAGGCATCGCATTAACTGACTTCAAACTATCCTACAAGATTTATACCAGTACCATAACAGCATGATACCAATATAAAAGTAGGCACATAGATCAATGGAACAGAACAGAGAACCCAGAAATAAAGCCAAATACAACCAACTGATCTTCAACAAAGAAAGCAAAAACGCAAATTGGGAAGGGGCACCCTATTCAACAAATGGTGCTGAGATAACCGGCTAGTCACATACAGAAGAATGAACCTGGATCCTCATCTCTCACCTTATACAGACATCAACTCAAGATGGATCAAAGACTTAAATGTAAGACCTGAAACCACAAAAACTTTAGAAGATAACATTGGAAAAACTCTTCTAAACACTGGCTTAGGCAAAGATTTCAAGACCAAAAACCCAAAAGCAAATCTAACAAAAACAAAAATAAACAGATATTACCTAATTAAATTAAAACACTTCGGCACAGCAAAATAAATAATCAGCAGTGTAAACAGACACCTCACCGAATGGGAGAAAATATTCACAAACTATGCGTCCTACAGAATCTACAAGGAACTCAAATCAGCAAGAAAAAGAGAAATAATCCCATCAAAAAGTGGGCAAAGAACATGAATAGACAGTTCTCAAAAGAAGATAACGAAATGACTAACACATGAAAAAAAATGCTCAACATCACTAATTATCAGGGAAATGCAAATTAAAACCACAATGAAATACCACCTTACTTCTGCAAGACTGGCCATAATTTAAAAAGTCAAAAAATAGTAGATGTTTGCATGGATGTGATGAAAAGGGCACTTTTACACTGATGGTGGGAATATAAACTAGTACATCCACTGTGGAAAACTTTATGGAGATTCCTTAAAGAACTAAAAGTAAAACTACCATTTGATCCAGCAGTCCCACTATTGAGTATCTACCCAGAAGAAAAGAAGTCATCATATGAAAAAGCCACTTGCATCTGCTTGTTTATAGGAGCAGAATTCACAATTGCAAAAATATGGAACCAGCCTAAATGCCCCTCGACTGACAAGTGGATAAAGAAAATGTGATATATTTACACCATGGACTACTACTCAGCCATAAAAAGGAATGAAGTAATGGCATTTGCAGCAATTTGTACGGGAGTTGGAGAACATTATTCCAAGTGAAGTAACTCAGGAATGGGAAACCAAATATCATATGTTCTCACTTATAAGGGTTTGCTAAGCTATGAGGACGCAAAGGCATAAGAATGATATAATGTGCCAGGCGCAGTGGCTCACACCTGTAATCCCAGCACTTTGGGAGGCCAAGGCAGGTGGATCATGAAGCCAGAAGATTGAAACCATCCTGGCTAACATGGTGAAACCCTGTCTCTACTAAAAATACAAAAAGTAGTCGTTGTGGCACGTGCCTGTAGTCCCAGCTACTCGGGAGGCTGAGGCAGGAGAATCACTTGAACCTGGGAGGCAGAGGTTGCAGTGAGCTGAGATTGCACCACTGCACTCCAGCCAGGGTGACAGGGCAAGACTCTGTCTCAAAAAAAAAAAAAATAAAAAAAAAAATATATATAATGGACTATGGGGACTCAGGGGTAAGTGAGAGGAGGGTGAGGGATAAAAGACTATACACTGGGTACAGTGTACACTGCTCAGGTGATGAGTACACAAAAATCTCAAAAATCACCACTAAAGAACTTATCCGTGTAACAAAAAATGACCTGTTCCCCAAAAACTATTGAAATTTTTAAAAATGTAAACGTTAGCCATGCGTGTTGATGTACACCTGTAGTCCCAACTACTTAGGAAGCTGTGGCAGGAGTATCTCTTGAGCGTTGGAGGTCAAGGCTACAGTGAGCTATGATTGCACCACTGAACTTCACCCTGGGCAACAAAGTGAGACCCTGTCTCAAACACACACACACACACACACACACACACACACAAACTGGTTTTGTCCTGGTACCTGATTATTATAATTTGAAGCAGAAATTATTTTGTTTAGATTTTTTAATATTAAGAAGCATCTCGGCCAGGCGAGGTGGCTCACACCTGTAATCCCAGCACTTTAGGAGGCCCAGGTGGGCAGATCACCCGAGGTCGGGAGTTCAAGACCAGTCTGACAAACATGGAGAAACCCCAACTCTACTAAAAATACAAAGTTAGCCGGGCCTGGCGGCACATGCCTGTAATCCCAGCTACTCAGGAGGCTGAGACAGGAGAGTCACTTGAACCCAGGAGGTCAAGGCTGTGGTGAGCCGAGATCGAGCCATTGCACTCCAGCCTGGGCAACAAGAGCAAAACTCCCGTCTCAAAAAAAATAAATAAATAAAAGCATCTCTACTCACGATTGAACTATACAATTAAAAGGTCACACCTTTGTTTCACCATGGTAGGCAAGGTAAATATTAAAAAAGAAAATGGCTGTCCATAAAAGGGATCTGGTGACAGAGGATAGCCTCTCCCAGGGTAACAGGCATCCAGGACTCCACTCCATCAACGATTTCTAAAACAAAGGTTGTGAGCAAGTGCTAGGATGAGACGTGTGATTAAGTTTCTGAGCTGACAGCAAATTTAAAAGATGCCCTCCCAGCTCCTGGCTGCGGCCCATCCTCCCTCTAAGGTGCACAACTCCATTATGCTTTTAACTGATGACACTACCTCTTGGCCATTACCACCTCCCACCAGATCCCATTCACTTTGTTTTACCAGGGAAAGATCTGCTCCAGCTAATGCTTTATCCTTCACAGTGATTTTCTTTGACTTTATAGAAAGGGAGAGCCATTTGGTCAAGAGGCTGCCCATCAGATCCTGTGTCCTTCTGCACTGCTAATATCTATCTGTGGCCCTGCTTTAAAACCCAAATACGAACATCTCTTCCATGAAGCCCTTCCTGATTGCCAGTGCCCTCAACAGTGGGATAAACTGCCAGGCATCTTGGAGATCTAGACCCGTGGTTCTCAATCCCGACTTCCCCCGGCCTCCTGAGAAGCTTTTAATAGGTGCATCAGCCCTGGATTCTTACCAGTAGGTCTGAGAGGGAGGCTTAGCGCTTGTGTTCTTTTAATAGTGTGCACAGGGTTGACGGGAAACACACACACACTGTGCAGAACCATTCCACGAGGCTGTGTGTCCGGAATTGGTTCCCTCCAATGGGTTCCTGGTGCCGCTGACTTCAAGAATGAAGCCGCGGACCCTCGCAGTGTTACACTTCTTAAAGACGGTGTGTCCAGAGTTTGTTCCTTCAGATGTTCAGATGTGTCAGGAGTTTCTTCCTTCTACTGGGTTCGTGGTCTATGCACGACTTCATGAGTGAAGCCGCAGACCTTTGCAGTGAGCGTTACAGCTCTTAAAGGTGGTGCGTCCGGAGTTGTTTGTTCCTCCCGGTGGGTTCGTGGTCTGGCTGACTTCAGGGGTGAAGCCGCAGACCTTCACAGTGAGTCTTATAGCTCTTAAAGCCACAGTGAGTCTTATGGCGGCTCCAGAGTTGTTTGTTTCTCATGGTGGGTTCCTGGTCTGGCTGGCTTCAGGAGTGAAGCTGCAAACCTTCACCATGAGTGTTACAGCTCATAAAGGTAGTGTGGACCTAAAAAGTGAGCAGCAGCAAGATTTATTGCAAAAGGGGAAAGAACAAATCTCCCACAATGTGGGAGGGGACCCGAACGGGGAAGCTGGCCGCGATGGCCAGCCTTTATTCCCTTATTGGCCCCGCCTGCATCCTGCTGATTGGTCCATTTTACAGAGTGCTGATTGGTCCATTTTACAGAGTGCTGATTGGTCCGTTTTTACAGAGTGCTGATTGGTGTGTTTACAAACCTTTAGCTAGACACAGAGTGCTGATTGGTGCATTTACAGTCCTTTAGCTAGACAGAAAAGTTCTCCAAGTCCCCACCAATTAGCTGGACACAGAGCACTGATTGGTGCATTTTTACAGAGTGCTGATTGGTGTGTTTACAAACCTTTAGCTAGACACAGAGCGCTGATTGATGCTTTTACAATCCTTTAGCTAGACAGAAAAGTTCTCCAAGTCCCCACCAATTAGCTGGACACAGAGCACTGATTGGTGTATTTTCACAGAGTGCTGATTGGTGTGTTTACAAACCTTTAGCTAGACACAGAGCGTAGACACAGAGCGCTGATTGATGCTTTTACAATCCTTTAGCTAGACAGAAAAGTTCTCCAAGTCCCCATCAGACCCAGAAGCCCAGCCAGCTTCACCTCTCAGTAGCTTACAGAAGAGGACCCCGCTGCCACAGCACAATACCACAAAGAAAGTCATGCGCTCCTCAGCAGGAAGCCCCCTTCTCCGGGACAGGGACTTTGTTTCCTTCTCAGCTCTATTGCCAGCACCTAGAACTGTGCCCACCTGTCAGATCTGTTATCAGATGGGAACGTGGCAGATTTGTTGAATGAATGAAGGAATGAATGAACTATGTGACACTCAAACTTAGCCACCAAACTTAAACTAGAAAAACTGGGTTGTGGTCCCTGATGGACCGTTGGTGCCTTCTTCCTTTGCTGGACGGTGATCTGTGGCTGTTTCTCCGGTGTGTTCGCAGTGGTTGCCTGGCTTGGTAACAAACACTCTTCAGAGCCACAGCCTGTGCTCGGGCTCCTCGCCGCCTCCCAGGCCCTGCGATCTCTTTGCATCCCAGGAGGTCCCGGTTGGTTGCAGTCCTCCTGGGTGACTCAGGAACCAGCCTCTCCTGAAGCACACAGCCTAGGGAGTTCCTGGGGCCAGAGACATCTCCAAGGGAAGGTCAAGGGCCTGGAGGATGTGCGGACCTGACGACAGATGCCCCGCACGCTGGCCGGGACCGGGAAGGGCGGTCAAGTGTGGAAAGGGTCTGGCGGCTGCCAGGCCTGGCAGAGTGGAGCGGGGCGGGGCGCAGCGGGGCGGGGCGGGCCTGGAGCTGCACCCGCTTCTGGGTGGACGCACTTGGCGAGCGGCGCGGGATGCAGACGGCTGCGAGGCGCTGGGCACAGGTCAGACGTCAGTACCCGCAGGGGGCTTGAAACTGGAGGAGGGCTCGAAGGGAGAGGGAGCCCCGCCAAGGAGCGGGGCTGTGATGGAGAGGGGGTTCCGACTCGCATGGGACCTGCGGGGGAGGGTACGCGGACAGGGAGGGGATACCGACTGGGAGGGGCTCAGGGACAGGGATGGAGGCTCCTCTAGGGGAGGACGGGAGGGGATGGAGGGCCCTGGTGTCGCAGAAGCCCACCTGGGGCCCCCTCCGGGCTGCGGCACCGATGCGCACACTACTCCCACCGCCCCCGAGTGCCTATGTCCGGCTGGCCGCGGCCCTGGAATGAATATTGCTCAGTCCCCCGCGAGTCAGGTCTGCCGCGTTGCAGGGTGAGGGGAAGGTGTGAAGCCCCGGGCCTCCGTCTGCCCCGTGAGTCCGGGAACGCGCGCCCCCGTGGATGCCACCTGGCCCCTGAGCTGTGTCCAGTCACAGCTCACATAGCTCTGGGCACTGGTACCCCGACTGCCTTTCCTTGTTAGCTGCGATACACAAATACATGAGCCAGATCCTTTCCTGAGGCCAGGAAGCCTGGAATCTAATAACATTGGGCGGTGGATAAAGTCCCCCGATCCAGTGCTTAGCTTCCGTTAATGGAGCCATGGATGGAAGCGGATGTCAGGCGCAGTGGGGGAGAAATTTGCGGGGGTGGCCCTGTCTAGGGCCAGAGAAACAACCTCTGAAGCTTAGATCCAGCCCTAGAGGGAAGAAAGATGTGAGTTTCAGCCAGGGAAACCTAGCACTTTAAGAAATAGAAACCCTTTCAAAATTTGAGGGCAGGTAGCTCTCCTAAAAGTTGCAGAAATGGCCACTTCTTTCACGTTCTCTTCGACTGCTTTCTGCCGTGTCTGCCGTTTTCCTCCTCCCGCACCTTTTTGTCTCCTAGGGTGGCATAGCCTTCCAAACAGATCTGCCTACAGCATTTTACCTGCAATTTTACACTGATTTTATAGAAAGGATGGCTTATTGTTCATGAGAAACGTGTACTGTTTTTAACCAGATGTGTTATATTTTCAGTATAACCTGGGTGTTGTGCAGTGGGAAATTACGGAAAGAATCAGGACACGTGGTTAGGTAGGGGCCCAGTGGCGTCAGACTTAGCTCTTCGTGACTGCGAGCTTCTTGGTTTAATAAGGATATTGGCTCGCTCTGTTCCTGGGGTTTCTGGGAAAAGATATGGAACTGAAATGAAGGTTTCATTGAATATGGCCCACTGATTTTACAAGCAGAGGTGCCTGAGATAAGCAAAAGGTGAGGCATGACCTCTGGCTGTGCATTATTTGTTCTGATATTACAGGAGCCAAGCATTCCACTTCCTTCTTTTTAAAGAGCTTTGATTTCCTCTCACATCTTCATGAAGAAGGAAACAGTGCCCCCACTTACTTATCCTCAGGCCACACCTGTTCCCATTTATTCCGTGAGTTCCTCCCGCACCCTTCTGGTTGATGTTGGTTGTGATGGCCGAGGCGAAGTTATTGAATCTCACATTTGGCACCAGTTGTTTCTGTTTCTCATCTCCCCCCTACCTTCAGTTAAACATCAGCTGCTATACTTAGCTGTTCAAAGTACAGATGTTAACTGTGTTGGGTGTGATCAAAAGATTATCTCTTTTCCTCAAATGTAAAATGGGTGAGGACAGTTTCACCACACAGAGTCACTCCCCTAGCCAAAGTCCTTGCTATTGCAAAACATTTTATTGTAAGAGAATTAAAGTCACTAGTGTGTCAACTAGTGGTACTTATAGACACATTCCATATTTGTTTGTGTAGACAGATCATAAGACAAACACTAGATTATTCCCAGTATGAGACCATACTGAATATGAACAATTAGAGGCCACAGGTGAGTGCTGTCCTCCTCACACTTTCTTTGAACTCTTAAGCTTCTACCCTTTTAACCAGCCAGCCCTCTCCCCGAAACCTTCACTGAGGCTAGAAACAAACACAAAGAGACTATCTGAATTTTAGCGAATTTTATCTCTCTTTTCTGTTCTCTTGTGTAAAAACTAAATGACCACAAACTACACCGCTGGAGGAAAAAGGAAAGCTAAAAGGTCTATCAGCCTTCTGTATGTGATGCAGAGTTCAACTGAATATAGCAAGGTACACACCTGCATTCTCCTTGCCAGGACTTAGATATCATAAGCCATTATCTTGCTGGTTGTTGAAATCGTAATGGGGCTTTATAGAGCACAAGGCGATGTTTGTAAACAGCACTGTTCAGGCAAGATTAGAATCCGTATTTCAAAAATGAGGAGATGGAAACAGAGATATTGTGTATGTGGTCCAGGGTTAGCCAGGAATTAAATGGCAGAGCCGGAGCTCAAACCAGCATTCCTTCCAGAATACCACAGCTGCCTCTGGAGTGGTTTTTGTTGTTCTTGTTGAATTTTGTGATGGAAGATTGTGATTTGTTTTTCCTGAACACTTAATATGTTTTCTGACTTGAACTGTCAGAATCTAAATTTAGAAACTCTCATTTGGTATATTTCATGTCCATCTTTGTTCCATATAATTACAAAAATATCTTAGAGCTGGGTATAACCTTAAAGATTGTCAAGTCCAATCTTGTGGTTTTTCAAAGAAAAAAAACGGATTTAAAAAAATAAAGCAAGTACCTCATGTTGCTTCCCCAAATCTACTTCATTGGAGAATTACAGCTAAAAGCAATGTTCAGATTATTGCTCCTTCTGTCATGTGGTCTCTTGAGAATTTGCCAAATGTATAAATCCAGTGACTTATTTTGATGTACTCTTTTGGTTTGAGGTCTGTGACAGCAAACATAACCTCCCTGAATCCCAGCCTGAAATGCCTATGTACCTTCTGTTCTAACTGTAGCCGTTATTATAGTGGCTAAAGTTCTAACTTCTGTTCTAACTGTTCTCCTGGTTCCATGACAAACAGAGCTTTACTTGTCTTATTCCTAGCACAGTGCCCATAGCAGGCATACATAAAATGTGGTCAGTATGTCAGATAAACATCTGAAAAAGTATGACATGTCATTAGAAGTTCATTCAGCTACAAGAACAGAAAACCCTACTACAACGGCTTAAACAAGTAAGGAGTTTGTTTTTCTCAGAGAAGGAGAAGTCTGGAGGTGAGAAGCCTGAGGCTGGGAAAGGGGTTCCGATATGAACTCATCTGAGACAGGTTCCTTGTGTCTTCCCGCACCACCCTCCTTAGCATGGAGCTCTCATCCTCACTTCCCCAAGTTGCAGCAGAAAGACGGGCAGAGGCATGCTCCAGAAGAGTCTTGTCTTGTCTTGTCTTTTTTTTTCTTTTCTTTTCTCTCTTCTTTTCTTTTCTTTTCTCTCTCTGTCTCTCTCTCGTCTCTTTCTTTCTTTTGAGATGGAGTCTCACTCAGTGGCACAATCTCAGCTCACTGCAACCTCCGCTTCCCAGGGTTCAAGTGATTCTCTTGCCTCAGCCTCCAAGTAGCTGGGATTACAGGCGTGCACCACCACGCCCAGCTAATTTTTGTATTTTTAGTAGAGACGGGGTTTCACCATGTTGGTCAGGCTGGTCTTGAACTCCTGACCTTGTGATCTGCCCCCCTCGGCCTCCCAAAGTGCTGAGATTACAGATGTGAGCCGCCGCGCCTGGCTTGTCCTTCTTTATAATAAATAATAATAATAATAGCTTTTCTGGTAGCCCACCCCAAAAGACTTCTTACATGTCATTGGCCAGAACCATATCACATACACACTATTAAAGGTGAGGGAACCTGAGAGAATCTAGTGTTTTAGACGGACACGATGCCAATACATCAAAGTAAGAATTTTGGGCCAGGCACAGTGGCTCACGCCTGTAATTCTAGCACTTTGGGAGGTCAAGGCGGGTGGATCACCTGAGGTCAGGAGTTCAAGACCAGCCTGGCCAACATGGTGAAACCCCATCTCTACTAAAAACACAAAAAATCAGCCAGGCATGCTAGCAGGTGCCTATAGTCCCAGCTACTCAGGAGGCTGAGGCAGGAGAATCGCTTGAACCCAGGAGGCAGAGGTTGCAGTGAGCCGAAATCATGCCACTTGCTCTCCAGCCTGGACAACAAGAGCAAAACTCCATCTCAAAAAATAGTAATAATAACAAAATAGGAATTTTGTTAATAAGGCAGGGGGGAGAATGAACATTGGGTAGGCAGCTAGCAGCATCTGCCATAGTGTGTTTTATGAGTCGTAGATCCTATCTCTAAATAGGTTGTTATTTGTTTTGGTTTTTTGTTTGTTTTACTAAAAAGCAATGGGTAATGCAGTGGGTCTAGAGGAACTTTTTTAAATGGTAGAGTGCAAGGACCACTCTGAGAACTGCTGATGATGTAGGTCTGGGCTGGGTCTATAAATCTCCATTCCGGACGGGCACGCCAGGTCATCTGAGGGCAGGTGGTTGCGGGAATACATTTTGAGAAACACCGAATGTCGGGTAGTTTAGCAGAAGTGCCTTTATTTTATTTCCGTTAGCTTTTTGCCTCACTCCTCTTGAGGATATTACTTTATTTTTTAATTTTCTACTTTGGTCAACATAAATCAATGTATAGCCTTAGAAGTCGTTCATTGTAGAAGGTTTTTATTGAGTTTATACTGAGTATAGAACCCTAGTGGCAATTACTTTCAATGCTTTGGGTTGTGTTTTTCTGATATTACCATATCCTAAATAGCATGCAAATACGGGCCATTTCTTCTTCTCTTTTCCAGTTCTGGGTAACATCTATTGACATCCTACCAAGAAGGATGACGGTTTGCTCCTTTACACCCCCACCCTCCCTCTCACCTTCACATCCCTTTCTTTTAAGTTCCCAATACGGTTATATCCTAAATTTTTGATATGTCAATGTTTGGTGTGTATATTATTCCCAACTAAGGCACATGACACACCATGATCTTTACATTCCCCTTCTTGACCAGTCTTTCCCCCCACCCCATGGAATGGGGTGTAGGAATTGCTACATTTTCTTTAGTTGTTTGTTTGAGAACTCATCTCCAAGAACTCATTTCCTGGAGCCAAGGAAACTCATGGGGGCCCTCTGAGTGCTACTAATTGCATGGAGCTGTTGAGTGGGGAGGAAAAGCCAGGCTGCCATCAAGAAGCATTTGGGGTAAATTTTCTAAGCACATCTGAAAAGACAGAGTCTAGAACCTCCACGGTCCCTGTCTGTTGTGATTTATTTTCTCATTCTAAATACATACATACATACGCACTTTTTTTTCTGTCTAGGCCATCTCTTGTGGAATACATATGTACTTTCATACCCAATTATGTACAGTTTTTGTAATTTTACGCCTTTTTCTTAAAGAAGGCTCCCAAAAGTGTCTAAGATTCAGGCCCCATAAGAGGCGGTTGCTTTTTGAGCTTGTGCCCATTTAAGATGTCACTTTTCTTCCTTCACACTTGATTGCTGGTTTGGCTGGGTATGGGATATTAATCAGAAATCATTTCCTGTCCGAATTTTGAAAACATTGCTCTATTTTATTCTATTTTCTTATGGTGCTGTTGAGAAGCTGATGCCATTCTAATTCCTGATCCCTTGTATTTTGTTTTAATCTCTGGGCATTTGTAGGGTTTTCTTTGTTGTTCATATTCTGATATTTCATGATGCTGTTATTTAATGTTGGGGTGGGGTTTTTTGGCAGGGAGATACAGGGAGGTATCAGTCACTGTCCTAGGTATTTTATAGGTCTTTTCAATCCAAAAATTACATTCTTCGGTTCTGAGTGGTTTTCTTCTGTTATATAATTTTCTCGTTCTTTCTTTCTGAAACTTAAATTACTTAGACTGAATCTGAAAATGGGATCTCTTGGATTTGTCTTGTGATTTTATCTTTTTTATTTTAAAAAAATCCCATGTTTTTTAGTTCTAATAAATCTTCCAACACTGCTATTAAATGTTTACATTCTACCATTACATTTTTAATTATCAGGAGCTTTTATTGGCGAGAGGTGTGGTCTTCTAAATGGTTTTTACAGTATCCTGTTCTCATTTCATGAATGCAGTATCTTCTCTTATTTCTCTGAGAATATTAACTCAGTACTTTTTCTACATTTTAAAAGTTTTCTTCAGCTACCTACAATGTCTGTGTCTATTTTCAAAGTGACTTTTAATGTTGCTTTTGGCCTGCCTTTCATGTTGGAAGTTTTATACATGTTTAGGGATGCTGTGCGTCATCTGTGAGCATGGTTTGTAAGTTGGCTGGCTTCATTGTAGGGTGGTTAGGCAGAGAAAGCCTTCTTGATGGCTTATCGCCTGTCTCTAGTGCTTTCTAGTACATATAATGGGTTTCTCTGTAGAAAGATCTCATTTCTAGCCATTTATTCCTGTTTGAGAAAAGTCACATAATAACTTAGATGTATTTATTATGTCATCTGCTTAACAGCAGAGGTTCTTGTTGTAAGGTGGATAGGTGGAGGTCTAGGATTCAAAATGGGAAATGTGTCCTTGACTCTGCCTCCACTTTGAAGTTGCTGATGTTCTCCACATTTTCTTTTCTATTGAAAAAGCTCTGAGATACCAAGGAATGAAAACTCTTTGAATACATGTACAACTAATTTACTTTTTGATAACCATTTGCAAAATATCGATTATATTGGGAAAACATTTTTCTAATACCTCTAGAATTTGGGACAGAATTTCTGCCCTTGAAGGTAACCCTCCAAATCCATGCAATTTTTCCCTTGTACAGCCCCACAGTGATCATCAAAACTTGGAGCAGATTCATCTTTTTTTTTTTTTTTCCCTGGGAAAGGTTTAGATCACGTGAAGGGAACAGATACTACGTTTGATAGGAATGGTTCCTGCTTTAGCTTCCTAAGGCCTCTCACTTGGAAAGCCTGCCCATTAGACCCTGGATTTTTTGCTGTTAGCTTTTCCTTCTTAGGCGACTTCAACAAAGACTGCAAACTCCCTGACAGCACGGGCCCAGGCTTGTCACCTCTGCAACTCCATCACCCAGAATAGTGCCTTATGCATAATAGGCACTTGATAAATGTTAGTTGACTTAAATTGACCCTATTATCTGTTTTAAACTAGCCCTTCCTACCTGTCCCCTTGCTATTTCCTCTGTTTCTCTTACGTCTTTTTATGTCACCACCTCTTGGATGATGCTACCTCATTCTCAAATCTGATGGTATGGAATAGCTATAAGAAAACAAACTTGAAAGATATCTAACTACTAGGACTCTAAGTCGAATTTCCAGGATTCAAAACTCCCATATCACCTTACTAAATATCTAATTATTTCTTAGGTTATCACCAACCACCCTGCATCGAGTCCCTCCTGAGCCACAGTTCAGTTTGGATTATTTTTTTCCTCATGTTCCATCCCTTGACTGTAGTGCCCTTCCCTTCCTTCCAGTGTCTTTGATCGGCCTCTACTTTGATCCAGAGCTTCTCTTTGATCTGTTCTAATGGTCATTTTTCTGCCTCCTCCCCTACATTGATCTACAATCTGGCATATTTTATACATTATACAAAGCACATTGTTATGCTGATTTCAGAATACCTACCTGTCAATCAGACAGACATCTTTTCAAACCTAACTCAGACCCATGATGAAAGTCTCTCTCTTCTGGCCATTACTGAGATAGCTCCTGCTCTGGTCTCACTGGGGCTGTTTATTTCTCTATGGGAGGCTTTAGAACAGTAACTAAACTACAGTGCAAAACAGTGATCTGTAGATTAGTGTTTCTTAATCATCAGCACTAACAATAGAATCTAAACTCCCAGGGACCTGGAGACTTGGCTGAGAACAGCCTGACATAAGTGCAGTCTCTCTTAATACTAAAAAATTTATGCTACCCCAAAATATGTCTGTATCTGTTTTCAAATGAAAATCATTTTTCCAGAATCTTCAGGTGAAATTGATACTCCAGGATTATGTTCATCTTGTGATTTCAGATATCATCTGGGGGGAGAGGATTCGCACATATGCTAGTCTGTGAGATACAGTAGTAGAAATCAAAGGACTTACCTAGCTCTAAGAACTGTACGAAAATAGTGATGGTACCAACAATTTTACCAATGGCTAGATTTAGGAGATGGTGTTCTCTTGATTCAAGATTAAGGCTAAGCTCATCAGTTCAGTTCAGTTTAAGAACTATTATTATATATCAAGCTTGTGCTAGTTTATGATGGAGATGATAAGGTCTCTGCTCTTGAAGATTCTGTAGACTAATGGGCAAGACATATGTCACTATATAATTTTAATATAACATGGTAAGTGATAAAAATCATGGTATGTATAAGGTCCTTTGAAAACACACAGGTGGGGCACTTAGCCCAGCCTGGAGACTCACAGAGGCTTCCTGCAGGAGATAAGGCCTAAAAACAGAAACCAAGTAAGAGGAATGAAAAGGACATGCAATTTAGAGGGGACAACATCAGCAAAGGGGACACTGTCAGGTTCACGGTGGGAAGAATTGGGAGGTGACGCTGGAGAGGAGCCACATTCAGGTATACACAATGCAAGGGGATGTGGACCCCTCCACAGGCTGCTGGTTAGCCAATGGAACATTTTCCATCCTCCAGTAGGGTAGTCAGATATACACGGAAGGTGGATGACTGGCTGCGGGGTGGAAGAAGAATTCATGGACAGCAGGACTAGAGGCCTCACAGTGTTTAGGAAAAAGACAATGAGAGCCCAAATGAGATCATTGCTGCAGGCACAGAAGGGAAAGAGAAAATACCAGGATACTTGGGGAAGCAAATTTAGCAGAATTTTGGTGTCTTTGGGGGCAATGGTGAGGGGAGAAGAGTCCAGAATGGCTCCCAGGATTCTGGCTTTCTGGGTGACTGGACGTTAAGCCATCACCCAAGTTTGGGATATGAGAAGAGAAGCCGATTTGGTGGGGAAAAAAGATGGTGAATTCAGTCTTGGACATACTGACTTGAGGTGTCTAAGAAACATCTGTATGTTTATGTGCATGTCTGTCTATTCAGCAGGTTGTTGGATCTATGAGTCTGAGACTTAGAGACAAGGTCAGAGCTAGAGATGAAGTTGTGGGAGTCACCAGTGTGCAAGTGGTGATTAATCCATGGGTGTGCATGAGAGTTCTTGCAAGGGGAAGAGGAAACGGAAGTAAGGGCTTATGCAAGGAGGATTGTTGAGTAAAGTGGAAGGCCCAGCCTCTGCCTGCTCACTAATGTCAGTGCTGAACAAGCCCACTGGCAGTGGATGCTGAGGGAAGGAAGGAAGGAGTCTGTCTGTAAGCTTGAGCACTTTTTCCAAGAGGTGGAGAAGGCAGAGAGCCCAAGCCTTGAAGAAATGTTCCTTAGTGGCCTGGCATCTCGGAAATTTGACTCCATGACTTTGGAGTGATCTTTCCATTATTATTTTCCTTGAGCACCCAGAAAGAGAATTCTGAACTAAATGTATTCTTTCACATGGCTGAGTTAAGGATAGTGTTAATTACTGAAATATATGTAAGGTTTTTTTTTTTTTTTTGGTTGTTTGAAAACTAAGCCCACCTTTGAAGTCCAGAGATGTCCTTTCACTCTAATGTATGCTGAGGTGGCAACTGGTAACTGCTTCTTTGTAGGTAATAGCCATAGCCTTAGTTTCATCCTCCTTTCTCCATGACTAAAACTTGCTCCAACTTCTGCATTTCGTTTTTATGATGTATTAATGAGGAGCAAAGACATAAAGGGGTTTCAGAATTTGGAAGAGCCATGGAGAGTCCCTCTTCCAAACTCCCTATTTAACAAATAAAGAGGCCGGGTGCGGTGGCTCACGCCTGTAATCCCAGCACTTTGGGAGGCCGACGCTGGTGGATCATGAGGTCAGGAGATCGAGACCATCCTGGCTAACACAGTGAAACCCCATCTCTACTAAAAATACAAAAAATTAGCTGGGTGTGGTGGCGGGCGTCTATAGTCCCAGCTACTCGGGAGGCTGAGGCCAGAGAATGCCGTGAACCCAGAAGGTGGAGGTTGCAGTGAGCCGAGATCATGCCACTGCACTCCAGTCTGGGGGACACAGCAAGACTCTGTCACAAAAAAAAAAAAAAAAAAAAATTAGGACCCTGAGAGGCTATGTGTCTTGCTCAAGGTCACAGAGTGAATTCCTAGCAGCATTCAGGCTAGGACCCAGGTATTCTGACTCAGTGGCCAGTGTTCTTGTTAGATAGTGAGAAAATAGAATTTAGTCCAATTTGTTTTTCAATCTCGAATTCAGGATCCAGCAAAACTGCCTAATTTTCATGACAGTTTGAAGAAAGGCCCAAATCAAATGCCTCCCCCTCTGTGAGGCCTACCCAGTTTCTCAGGTGAGAGTTACCCACTTTGTGTGCTATGCGCTAGGACTGCTACCAGTACGTCCCAGGACAATCAGTCTTTCACAAGTATTGTCATGTGGCACTTAACGACAGGGACATGTTCTGAGAAATGGGTTGTTAGGCGATTTTGTTGTGTGGACATCCTAGAGTGTACTTATACAAACCCAAATGGCATAGCCTACTACACATCTAGGCTATGCGGTGTATACTGTCAGTACTGAGCATACGCACTGTTAGCAGATGCTGAAGGGAGTCTGTAGGCGTGAGCGCTTTTTCCAAGAATTGACTTCAAACCTGTACAGCACGTTACTGTACCACACACTGTAGGCAGTTATAGCACAGTGGTAAGTATGTGTGTATCTAAACATGGAAAACATGCATTAAACATACGGTATTATGGCCAGGTGCAGTGGCTTACACCTGTAATCCCAGCACTTTGGGAGGTGGAGGCGGGCAGATCATGTGAGGTTGGGAGTTCGAGACCAGCCTGACCAACATGGAGAAACCCTGCCTCTACTAAAATTACAAAATTAGCCAGGCGTGGTGGTGCATGCCTGTAATCCCAGCTACTGGGGAGGCTGAGACAGGAGAATAGCTTGAACCCGGGAGGTGGAGGTTGCCGTGAGCTGAGATCACGCCATTGCACTCTAGCCTGGACAACAAGAGCGAAACTCCGCCTCAAAAATAAAATAAAATAAAATAATTAGCCAAGCGTGGTGGTGCACACCTGTAGTCCCAGCTACTCAGGAAGCTGAGGCAGGAGGATCACTTGAACCCTGGGGACGGAGGTTGCAGTGAGTTGAGATCGTGCCACTGTACTCCAGCCTGGGTGACAGAGTGAGACCTTGTCTCAAAAAAAAGAAGAAAAAAAGGTATTATAATCTTATGGGGCCACCATCATACATGCCGTCTGTTATTAACCAAAATGGCATTATGCGGCACCTGACTGTATACAGCTCTCTACTAGATTATAAACTCCTTGCAGATAAAACTATTCATTTTATCATTATCCATTATATTATTTCCTTAGCACCCAGAAGAATCCTGTATTTAATTGGCTCATATGGAAAATTTTAGAAAGAGAGAGACATCGGGGCTCAGACTATCTTCCGATCAGGAACCAAAACGAGCTGGGAGGTAACAGAGTTCTTTTTCATAGTAATTGTGTTCCATATCATGGTGAAATCGTGCCAGAACAAGCTTCAGACTCTTTCTGGTCTTACTCCTTCTGACCGTGCTGTTCCAAAGAACTTCCCATACAGGAAATAACAATGATGGCAGTAGCTGTCAAATTCTAAAGACGGGGATAGACTCTGGACCTCCTCAGGCCCCTGAGCCCACTGTAGAGCAGGGACGTGACTTAACTGAAGTTCAGGACTGCGGCCACAGTCACATCCACCTGTGAGCAATGGAGGACTTTCAACACAGAACCCTCTGCATCCCCTGCATTCTGTTACTAAGCAGCTCATAGAACACGAAGAGGTATTAACCTTGTTATTTGCAGAGTTACAAAAAGCTGAGTCAGGTATTCCAAAGCAAACCCAGACCAGAAGCCACCTGAGAGTTCGTGCCGGCAAGGACAGATTCAGAATGTACAAAAACGATGAAAATAATATTCTGTGATCACCCTATAACCTACTTCCTTACTGACCAAACACATGTCTCATTCCCATTAAAAAGTTATGCTCAGCCACTGCCCTCTCTAGGATTATCTGATGTTAAACAGTAATTCTGCCCATTTAGGGTCAGCTACTCAAAAGCAAAGAACAGCAACTTTAGGTCAAAATATATTCTTCCAGGAGAGAAGCCCAAGTCTCTCCCCTATTATTGCGGGAATAGTGTACGAGCACCAGACTAGAGAGGAAGCTAACACTTATTAAACATGTATTCTAGTCAGCTGCTAGACATTTTCAGGTAAGCCTCACAGGACCCCTCCAAGGTGGTATTAATGTCCCTGTTTTAGAAGGAGGAGTACTGAGATTCAGAGACATTAGAGAACTTGTCCAAGGTCTTACCAGTAAAAGTGGCAAAACCAGGATTGAACTTAGGTCTGACACTACATAGTTCATATTCTATTATGTGACTATATTCCTCCTTAAAGGAAAATTTAGGAATTCGGTTTCCTTTAGGAAGATGTAGGAAATAGAATGTACTGAAACTAAGATAACAGTTGACTTAAGTCTTTTCTAACTCAGCCTTCCTCAGGCCCATGTGTGAGCTGGTTTCTATCCTTTCCCTGAGACTCTTGGGCACATAGGACCATAATGTCTGTTTGATTTTACTTTTAAGTATATTCTTTTGGTCAGTCCCAGTCTAACAAAATTTTAAGATTTAATGCATTCTATCCATGCAAGAGAATTACATGTGGTTTTGCTTGCTAAAGAAGGTGGAGGCCGGGCGTGGTGGCTCACGCCTGTAATCCCAGCACTTTGGGAGGCCGAGGCAGGCGGATCACGAGGTCAGGAGATCGAGACCATCCTGGCTAACACGGTGAAACCCCGTCTCTACTGAAAATATAAAAAATTAGCCGGGCGTGGTGGCGGGCACCTGTAATCCCAGCTACTTGGGAGGCTGAGGCAGGAGAATGGCGTGAACCCGGGAGGCGGAGCTTGCAGTGAGCAGAAATCGCGCCACTGCACTCCAGCCTGGGCGAAAGAGCGAGACTCTGTCTCAAAAAAAAAAAAAAAAAAAAGGTGGAAATGATATAGGGTAAAGAGAGTAAGTGACATTATCTAGTTCACTCCCACCATATGGACGATTGGCTGCAACTGCCTCTCAGCCTTTGCATGTGTTATTTGCTCTGACTAGAACTCTGCCCACACTACCTGACTAATGCCTGTGTGTTTTTCCAGGAAGCTTTCATGACACTACCCTCTATAATCTTTCTCCTATTTCCTCCAGGCTGAGTAAGAATCTTCCCTTTGTTTTCATTGTTATGAGTGTTGTCTGTATACTCTAGTAAATTATTTTTATGTGAATCATAATAGTTTAATTAATCAGTCTTCTGATTCACAGTTTGAGCTGGCTATAGGCAAGGTCCTTCTGTAAAGAGTTGATGAAATCTACTTTTAAGAGTAGAAGGATAGACAAGATGCCAAGACAATTCAATAGGGAAAAAGAATAGTCTTATTAACAAATGGCTGGGACACTTGGATATTCACATGTGAAAGAATAAAGTTGGATTCCTACCTCACACCATATACAAAAGTTAAGTCAAAATAGATCAGAGGTCAGGTGCAGTGGTTCACACCTGTAATCCCAGCACTTTGGGAAGCCAAGGCTGAATCACCTGAGGTTAGCAGTTCTAGACCAGCCTGGCCAACATGGTGAAACCTTGTCTCTATTAAAAATACAAAATTAGCCAGGTGTGGTGGCACATTCCTGTAATCCCAGCTACTCAGGAGGCTGAGGCGGGAGAATCGCTTGAATGTAGGAGGCGAAGGTTGCAGTGAGCCGAGATTGCACCATTGCACTCCAGCCTGGGAGACGAGCAAAATTCAGTCTCAAAAAATAAATAAATAGATCAGAAACATAAATATAAGAGCTAAAACTACAATTCTTAGAAGAAAACATAGAAGTGGGTTTTCTGACCTTTGGTTAAGCAGTGGTTTCTTGGATATAACGTCAAAAGCACAAACAAAAGAAAAAAACAGATAAATTGGACTTCATCAAAATTACAAGCTTCTGTGCTTCAAGGACAGCATCAAGAAAAGACAACTCACAGAATGGGAGAAAATATTTGCAAATAATATATCTGTTAAGAAACCTGTATCTAGAACAAAGAACTATTACAACTCAATAATAGACAAGTAATCCAATTAAAATGGGCAATGTATTTGAGTAGGCATTTCTCCATGTGCCCAATAAGCACATGAAAAGATGCTCAACATCACTAATCATTAGGGAAACAAAACAACAAAATACCACTTCATACCCACTAGAATGGCTAAATGAAAAAAGACATAACAAGTGTTGGCAAAGATGTGAAGAAACTGGAACTCTAATACATTGCTGGTGGGATTGTGAAAGGGTCTAGCCACTTTTGAAAAGTCTGACAGTTTCTCAAAATGTTAAACATAGAGTTACCATCTGACCAAGTATTCCACTCCTAGGTATACAGTCATCACCCTTTATCTGCAGGGGATATGTTCCAAGACCCCCAGTGGATGCTAAAACCGTGGATAGTTAGTGCCAAACCTTATATACACTATGTTTTTTCCTAGATGTATATACCTATGATAAAGCTTATATAAATTAGGTATAGTAAGAGATTAACAATAATAGTAGGACTATATTAGAACTATATGTGTACTAGAACAATTACAACAATATACTGCTCACAATTTCATGGATGAAGATTCATTTTTACTGTAGATCTTAGCAACCTCAGCATACTATTTTTTTCTTTCGTTATTAAGAACTTTCATGTTTCCACTTAAACAAAACACTTGACAACTTCTCTTTGGCATATTCAAACTGCCAGCATCGCTACTTTTTCATTTTGGAGCCATTAGGTAAAACAAGGGTTATGTGAACACAAGCACTATGATACCATGACAGTCAACCTGATAATCCAGACAGTTTACTAAGTGACTAATGGTTATGCTGGAGAAAGCGATGACTCATATCCAGGGTGGGATGGCATGAAATTTCCTTATGCTACTCAGAATGGTGTGCAATTTAAAATTTCTAAATTATTTGTTTCTTGAAGTTTTGATTTAATGGTTTTGGACCACAGTTGACTGCAGGTAACTGAAACTGCAGAAAGCAAATCCATGGATAAGGGGAGACTACTGCATATCCAAGAGAAATGAAAACATCTATACACACAAAAACATGCAGTTGTTCACAGCATCATTATTCATAACAATTCAAACGTCCATCTACTAACAAGTGAATAAATAAAATGTGACACATCCACACAATGGAATATTATTTGGCCATAAAAAGGAATGAAGTAGCCGGGCGTGGTGGCCCACACCTGTAATCCCAGCACTTTGGGGGCCAAGGCAGGCAGATCACGAGGTCACCAGTTCGAGATCAGCCTGGCCAATATGGTGAAACCCCATCTCTACTATAAATATAAAAATTAACCAGGCATACTGGCGAGCGTTTGTAATCCCAACTACTCGGGAGGCTGAGGCAGGAGAATCGCTTGAACCCGGGAGGTAGAGGTTGCAGTGAGCCGAGACCACGCCATGCACTCTAGCCTGGGCAACAGAGCCAGATTCCGTCTCAAAAAAAAAAAAAAAAAAAAAAAAAAGGAGCCGGGGGCGGTGGCTCACGCCTGTAATCCCAGCACTTTGGGAGGCCGAGGTGGGTGGATCACAAGGTCAGGAAATCAAGACCATCCTGGCTAACACGGTGAAACCCCGTTTCTACTAAAAATACAAAAAATTAGCCGGGCATGGTGGCAGGCGCCTGTAGTCCCAGCTACTCGGGAGGCTGAGGCAGGAGAATGGCGTGAACCGGGGAGGTGGAGCTTGCAGTGAGCAGAGATCGCACCACTGCGCTCCAGCCTGGGCGACAGAGCAAGACTCTGTCTCAAATAAATAAATAAGTAAATAAATAAATAAAGGAATGAAGTGCTGATACATGCTATACCATGAATGAATCTTGAAAACATTATGCTGAGGGAAAGAGGCTGCATCTTGTATGATTTAATTTATATAAACTGTCTAAATTAGGCAAATCCACAGAGACGGAAAGCGTATTACTGATTGCCAGGGGCTGGGGGTGCTGGCAGGAAATGGGAATGACTATCAATGTGTATGGGATTTCTTTGGGGGTTGGTAAAAGCATTTTAAAATTGAATAGTTGTAATTTTATATAAAATTAGATAGCAATAATGGTTGCACAACTGTTAGTAAACCAAAAAATACCAAATTAAACACCTTAAAAGGATAAATTTTATGGTATGTAAATTACATGGTGGATTTTTTTTTTTTTAAGTAGAAGAGTAATGGCAATAAAGTACGGAGAACCATCTTAGGGTGACTTTCAGAGCCATCAGGAAAAACTGTCACAGAAATAAAAAGTAAAAAAACTTAGTAAAGTTGTTGAAATAGTTGTAGCTTGTTATACACCTGAGAGTTATTTTTCACAGTGATTTAGTAATTAAATCTATAAAAGGAAATGTGTTAATTGGCCAGGCCTGGTGGCTCACACCTGTAATCCCAGCAATTTGGGAGGCCCAGGCAGGTGGATCACCTGAGGTCAGGAGTTCGAGACCAGCCTGGCCCGACAGAGGGAGACTCTGTCTCAAAAAATAAACAGAAAAAGTAAAAAATAAAGGGAAATGTAAGTGTGAATTGATGAATGGATAAATAACATATGGCATTATGGGCAGAATTTTGTCTCCCCCACCTCCAAGTGTATGTGATGAAGTCCTCACCTCCAGTGCCTCAGAATATGCCTGTGTTTGGAGACAGGGTCTTTAAAGAAGTAATCAAGTTAAAATGAGGTCATTAGGACAGTAATCCAATATGACTGATATCCTTTAAGAGGAACTTTAGGGCCGGGCGCGGTGACTCACATCCGTAATCCCAGCACTTTGGGAGGCCAAGGCGGGTGGATCACCTGAGCTCAGGAGTTCCAGACCAGCCTGGCCAACATGGTGAAACCCCGTCTCTACTAAAAATACAAAAAATTAGCCAGGCGTGGTTGCAGACACCTGTAATCCCAGCTACTCAGGAGGCTGAGGCAGGAGAATCACTTGAACCCAGGAGGCAGAGGTTGCAGTGAGCCAAGATTGTGCCACTGCACTCCAGCCTGGGCAACAAGAGCGAACCTCTGTCTGAAAAAAAAAGGAACTTTAGACACAGACACACACAGAAAGAAGACCATCTGAAGACACAGGGTGAAAGCGGTCATCTGCAAGCCCAGGAGAGAGGCCTCAGAAGAAACCCATTCTGCCAACGCATTGGTCTCAGACTTCCAGCTTCCAGAACTGTTAGAAGATAAATGGCTGTGGTTTAAGTCCCCCAGCCTGTGGGCCTTTGTTACAGCAGCCCTGGCAACCAGTACAGATTTGGGTACCAAGAAATAGGGTGCTGGTGAGCAGACGTGGCTTTGGAACTAAACAGTGAGTAAGGGCTGGAAGAGTTTGGAGGTGCATGTTGGAAAAGGCCTAAATTGCCTTAAAGAGACTGTTGATAGAAATGTGGACATTAGCTGGGCGCTGTGGCTCACGCCTGTAATCCCAGCACTTTGGGAGGCTGAGGCGGGTGGATAACTTGAGGTCAGGAGTTCAAGACCAGCCTGGCCAACATGGTGAAACCCCGTCTCTACTAAAAATACAAAAATTAGCCAGGCGTGGTGGCATGTGCCTGTAATCCCAGCTACTCAGGAGGCTGAGGCAGAAGAATTGCTTGAACCTGAGAGGCAGAGGTTGCAGTGAGCTGAGATAGCACCACCGCAGCACTCCAGCCTGGGCAATAGAGCGAGACTCAAAGGAAAAAAAAAAACAACAACAGAAATGTGGACATTGAAGGTGATTCCAGTGAGGACTGAGAAAGAAAGAACAGAGCTGTAGAGAAAGCACCTATCAGCTGGGCACCGTGGCTCACACCTGTAATCCCAGCACTCTGGGAGGCCAAGACAGGTGGATCACCTGAGGTCAGGAGTTTGAGACCAGCCTGGCCAACATGGTGAAACCCCATCTCTACTAAAATACAAAACTTAGCCAGGTGTGGTGGCATGCACCTGTAGTCCCAGCTACTCGGGGAGCTGAGGCAGGATAATTGCTTGAGCCCGGGGGGCAGAGGTTGCAGTGAGCCAAGATCATGCCACTGCACTCCAGCCTGGGTGACAGAGAGAAACTCCGTCTCCACAAAAAAATAAAAATAAAAAAGGAAAAGAAAATGCGTCTATCATCTTAGAGAATACATGTATCATCAGGAACAGCATGTTGGTTGAAATATGAATGTTAAAGGTACTTCTGGTGAGAACTTGGACAGAAATGAGAACATGGTATTAGAAACTAGAAGAAAGATGGACCTTGTTATACAGTGGCAAAGAAATTTGTTGAATTGGATTCTCATGTTTCATGGAAAGCAGAACTTATAAATGATGAACTTGGATATTTAGCTGAGGAGATTTCTAAGCAAAATACTGAAGGTGGCCTGATTTCTTCTTGCTGCTCATAGTAAAATATGAAAGGAGAGAGATAAACTAAAAAAGGAATTTTTAGAAAAAAAGGAACCAAAACTTTTGGAAAACTCTCAGTCTATCCATTCTACAAAAAATGAGAAAGCACATTCTGGAGAAAAGACCAAGGGTGTGGCTGAACCCCCATCTGAAAAGATGGCCAATGTGATGCATGGATACAGTCAACCAACTCAGCAAGTCGGGAACAGAGATGTGGTTTTCCCAGGAACTTCTGTGGAGGGCCCTCTTGTCAAATGGCCTCGCCCCCTATGGATTGCATAGGAGGCCAACAAGGTTTTTCAGAATTTATACCAGCAGACATTGCCAGTTTGGACCAAAGGAGACAGAAATAGGAAGAAATGAAGGAAGATTCTCAGACTTCTGGAATTCTGCAGGACCAGCCAGTACAGCGATATGGCTATGATCATGAGTTATCCTTAAAGGAAAGAGAAGAATGACCCTGAAGCTAGTTCAGAGATCTGCCAGGTTGCTACTGCCACCTTGGGCCCAGGGCACACAGATTCAGGGGCAGGACTGGTGCCATTTCCTTGGTTTCAGCAGGCCAGGATGCCCCAGCCCAGGACCAAGGGGTGGGGCCACCATTTAGGGTAGAGGAATCAGGGTGATGGCCCTGGAAGGCAGGGCCACCCTGTGGACCCAGACAACAGAACACTGAGCCAAAAAGGATTATTCTCAAGCCTTGGAATTGGGCTGGGCGCGGTGGCTCACGCCTGTAATCCCAACACTTTGGGAAGCTGAGGCAGGTGGATCAGGAGTTGGAGACCAGACTGGGCAACATGGTGAAATCCTGTCTCATATAAATAGCCTTGCATGGTGGCTCATGCCTGTAATCCCAGCTACTTGGGAGGCTGAGGCAGGAGAATCACTTGAACCCAGGAGGCAGAGGTTGGAGTGAGCCAAGATCGTGCCACTGCACTCCAGCCTGGGCGACAAGGGTGAAATGAAACTGTCTCAAAAAAAAAAAAAAATTGAACGGAATTTGCCCTACCAGGTTCCAGGACAGGAGATCCATGACCACTTTCTTCTTTCCAATGTCCCACTTTTAAACTAGAAATGTCTATACTCTGCCTGTCCTGTTTGGGAAGCAGATAATTTCTTGTCTGGTCATAAAGGTTCACAGCTGGAGAAGAATTTTGCCTCAGGATGAACCATACCTCAAATCTCACCCATACCTGGTTTAGACGATACTTACATGAGATTTTGGACTTACAGTTGATGCTGGTCTGGGTTAAGACTTCTGGCACTGTTGGGATGGGGATGAGTGTATTTTGCATATGAGAAGGACATGGATTTTCAGGGAGCAGAGGACAGGGTGTTATGGGCTGAGTATGCTCTCTCCAAATTCAAATGTTGAAGTCTTATCTCCCAGTACCTCAGGATGTGACTCTTTTGAGATAAGATCTTTAAAGAAGTAATTAAATTAAAATGAGATCATTAGGGTGGGGCCCAAATGCAGTATGAGTAATGTCCTCATAAGAACACAGACACACACAAGAGGATGACTATGTGAGGACACTGAGAGAAGATGGCCACCTCCAAGCCAAGAAGAGAGGCCTCCAGAACTGAGAATGTAAATGATTGTTTAATCTGCCCAGTGTGTGGTACTGTCTTACCAGCCCTAGCAACCAGTATATGTGGTGTACCCACACAACGAAGTACCATTCAGCCATCAAAAGGACTCAGTGCTGATTCATGCTTACAACATGGAGAAACCTGGGAAATATCGTGCCAACAGAAAGGGCCAGTCACAAAAGGCCACATATTATATAATTCAATTTATGAATTGAAAGGCAAACCTGTAGAAATATAAAATGACTGGTGGCTGCCTGCTGGACACCCTGCAATGCACAGGACAGCCCCACAACAAAGACCCCTGTGGCCCAGAGTATCAGCAATGCCGAGGCTGTGAGATCCTGCTCTCACCCAGGCCTGCTTCCCAAAGCCCTTTAGTCCTGAAGAGAGAAGAGAACAGGCTGCCTTCTTTCTTTGTTATTGAAATCCCACTTACTCCCTCTTAGAGCATGTTCTTCTCCCTTTAAGACCAGCCTTGGCTGGTCTCCACCACATGTAGATGGGGCTGGGGAAGGAGAAGACTGGTGAGAGTGAGGGGTTTCTTTTCCTTTTTTTTTTTTTATGTTTTGAGATGGAGTCTTGCTCTGTCTCCCAGGCTGGAGTGCTGGAGTGCAGTGGCGCGATCTCAGCTCACTGCAACCTCTGCCTACTGGGTTCAAGAGTTTCTCCTGCCTCAGCCTCCTGAGTAGCTGGGATTACAGGTGCCCACCACCACGCCCGGCTGATTTTTGTATTTTTAGTAACAGACAGGGTTTCACTATGTTGGCCAGGCTGGTCTTGAACTCTTGACCTCAGGCAATCCGCCCGCCTCAGCCTCCCAAAGTGCTGGGATTACAGGCATGAGCCACTGCACTGGGTTTTGTTTTTTTGTTTTTTTGTTTTTTTTTTTTTTGAGACAGGGTCTCTTCTGTTGCCCAGGCTGGAGTGCAGTGACATAATCATGGCTCACTGCAGCCTCAACCTCCTGAGTAGCTGGGACTACAGGCATGCACCACCACACCCAGCTAATTTTTTTTCTTTTCTTTTCTTTTCTTTTTGTTTTTTTGTTTTTTTGGTAGAAATGGAGTTTCACCATGTTATCCAGGCTAGTTTCTTTCTTTCTTTTCTTTTTTTTTTTTTTTTGAAACTAAATCTTGCTTTATCACCCAGGCTATAGTGCAGTGGCTCAATCTCAGCTCACTGTAACCTCTGCCTCCTGGGTTCAAGCTATTCTCATGCCTCAGCCTCCCAATTAGCTGGGACTACAGGTGCCCGCCACCATGCCCAGCTCATTTTTGCATTTTTAGTAGAGATGGGGTTTCACCATGTTGGCCAGCCTGGTCTCAAATTCCTGACCTCAGGTGATCCACCCACCTCAGCCTCCCAATGTGCTGGGATTACAGGCGTAAGCCACCGCGCGCAGCCCCCAGGCTAGTCTTAAAGGGAGAAGAACATGCTCTAAGAGGGAGTTAAGTGGGATTTAAATAACAGAAAGAAGGCAGCCTGCTGTCTTCTCCCTTCAGGACTTAAAGGGCTTTGGGAAGCAGGCCTGGGTGAGAGCAGGATCTCACAGGCTCGACATTGCTGATACTCTGGGCCACAAGAGTCTTGGCTGTGGGGCCATCCTGTGCTTTGGAGGATGTTCAGCAGTGTCCCTGGTCTCCACTCAGAGAAGCCAGAGTGCCACCACCAGTCCCCGTTGTGAGCCATTGGACTCAAGAATGACCTAATGGCTTAACCTTGTACTGTGACAGAGCCTGAGTTGCCTGAATTTTAATGATACAAAGAATTTTAATTATACTAATTTTATTTTATTTTAATTTTTTTGTGAGACGGAGTTTCGCTCTTGTCGCTCTTCTTGCTTGTCTCGCCAACATCTCATGAAAAACCTTCTAGGACAGCTGGGATACCTCCAATTCATTCTTTTTAATGGTTATATAGCATCTCATAGTAAAGATAAAATATAATTTATTCATTCAAACACGTGGTTGGAACTTGAGTAGAGGCCCAAGCTCTCTGGGGTATTTGGGATCTATATATTTTGTGTCTGCCGCCACAAACTGGGAGACATTTGCTTTAACTCTCCACCTGTGGGAGCAACGTAATGTTAGAGAGTGCTGGTTGCCAAGCCTAGGCACTCGAGGAGAAAAACAAAATTCACCTTCCCCCTTTTTCTGATCCTTCCATTCATCTGGACATCTCTTCTTTCACCATTTCCTGCTTTCCCCCCTCTAAAATAAGGGAAAATTACTGCTTTGTTTTTTTAAAGCACCGTATCAAGTTTTACTTTTAACTACAGCCAAATGGCATCAACCATAATTTCTCCTTTCCTTGGCACCATTTCCTCTCTCTTCTTCTGTGCCTCTGCTTCCCTCTGGTTTCCTTGCTCCTCATTCTCCCTTACTCTTGCCTCCATTTTCTCTTTCTGACTCCTTCTATCTTATCTTCTATTTCACTTATCTCAAATGAGAGAGAGAGAGAGAGAAGGAAGGAGAGAGGGAGGGAGGGAAGGATCCAATGATCTCCCTAGATATGAAATAAAAAGGAACAGTTGCCCAAACCTCCAGTCTTCTTGGTTGCCAGCTTGGTTGCTATTTTTAATACTAGGCCATAGCAGCAAATCAGCCAGGGATTTAATAGGGAGATTCTAGAAATGAGAGTCATGGAAGTGTTGAGATGAGGTCTTCACACATCCCTAGCTGACTGAAAAAGCTATGCATCTATGGGGAAGACCTGAGACAGCACAGCAGAAAGTGAAAGGCAAAGTTACTACTTGTCCAAAACATTCAATCCTCCCCTCACACTCCCATCATATCTCATGTGAAATTAAAAAAAGAGGAAATATATTGAAATAAGAAAGTTGGGGAATTTGCCTTTGTGAAAGCACTTATTTTTTTCCTTTGGAGACAGGGTCTCACTCTGTCACCCAGCGGTGGAGTGACACGGAGTGTCAGCGGTGCGATCACGGCTCACTGCAGCCTCAACCTCACAGGCTCAAGCAATCCTCCCATCTCAGCCTCCCGAGTAGCTTGGACTACGGCGTGCCCTTCCATGCCCAGCTAATTTATTTTTAGTAGAGACAGGGGTCTCACTATGTTGCCCAGACTGATCTTGAACTCCTGGGCTCAAGCAATCTTCCTACCTCAGCCTTCCAAAGTGCTGGGATTACAGGTGTGAGCCACTGCACCTGGCCTAAAAGCATTATCTGATATTTGTTTTCCTATTCGTAAGTTTGTCCTTAGATTGAAAGGTTTTATTGTATATTGCACACACCAGTTGTGTATATTAGGAAACATTCCTTAAGTATTTTTTTATTTAACATTTATTTTATTTAAATGTTTTTAATGCTAAACCACAGCAGGGGCTTAGCCTATATTTGGAAAATGGGTTATCCAAATTATTTAGAAGTCCAAATTTTTATTGTTCTACTTGAAGTTATTTATTACCTTGTTCCTCCTGTAACTAAAAGTGACTCATCCTCCATCTCCTCCACGTGTTCCATAATGTAGCTAATCTAATGAACTAATCCATTAATTTGTTAATGGAAGAAATATAGCCCATCCCCATCAAATCAAAGTACTCAGTCTTCTATGAATCATACATAAGTTTAAATAAATTTCTACAGACATGCTGCAGGCCCTGCTGTCCACTGGTGTGAATTTTAGACGAGGTGAAAGGGAAGGGTGGGTCTTGACAAGCCGGTATCAAGTACACAGAGGCAGACAAGGACTCTGCCTTTATTTCAGGCACTGCTTTTGAGAAAAATGAGGCAGGGCAGGGAGGAGGGAAGCCGGTTAGTCAGTGTGCAATTTTGACATACATTTGCAAAGCTGGTTTTTCTGCACCTTTGCCTAGGAAAATGAAGTATAACGAGCTTGATATTGAAAGGGACCTGTGTTAAACATTAAACAAAAATGTAAATTTTTTATGTTCAAAGGAGGGTTTAAAAAAAAAGCAGGCTGGGCACAGTGGCTCACGCCTGTAATCCCAGCACTTTGGGAGGCCGAGGCAGGTGGATCACTTGAGGTCAGGAGTTTGAGATCAGCCTGACCAACATGGTGAAACCCTGCCTCTACTAAAAACACAAAAAAATTACAGGCATGGTGGCGCACGCCTGTAATCCCAGCTACTTGGAAGGCTGAGGCAGGAGAATCGCTTGAATCTGGGAGGCAGAGGTTGCAGTGAGCCAAGATTGCACCATTGCATGCCAGCCTGAGCAACAAGAGCGAAACTCCATCTCAAAAAATAATAATAATGAGGAGAAGGCCTTCCAGTTATGGCAGCACAAAGAGGCAGGCAATTTCTTTCTGTAAAAAAAAAAAAAAAAGCAACAACCAACCAAAAAATATATAAAACTAGACAAAATTATTTATCAAAACCAACCATTTCAGGAAACTGGAAATTGACAAAATGCAGGCAAAAAATTGAGCAGCATTTATTCTTGAAAAACTACTAGATCTTTAGGCAAGTAGGAGATTGTGGCTTTTTCTGCCTGTGGCTGCTCCCGTCACCCCCCAGCTCAGCCAATGACTTTTAAGTAAGATGGGGCTGACCATGAAAACTAGTAGCTTTGCTGCCATACAAACAGATTCAATTCAGAGCAGTGGCTGGGGGGTTGAAAATCCTTGGCTTTGTTGGCTTAACATGGGAATGAACACTTGGAAATGAGCAGGACAAATCCACAGCTTCGCTAGCTTGAGGTTGCAGCCCCACTTGGGGCAAGCAGCAGGCCAACCAGGAATTTAACAGGCGGATTCTGGAAATGAGAATCAGAGAAGTATTGAAGTGAGCTCTTCACGCATCCCTGGCTGACTGAAAAAACTATCTATGCATATATAGAGAAGACCTGAGAGAGCCCAGCAAAAAGTGAAAGACAAGGGGGACTTGAAAACTGGCCTTCTCCAAGCCCCACACAGATCAACTAACAGGGGCTGGAAATGCAATGGGCTTGAAGTTTTTTTTTTTTTTTTTTTGGAGATGGAGTCTCACTCTGTCGCCCAGGCTGGAGTGCAGTGGCACGATCTCAGTTCACTGCAACTTCCGCCTCCTGGGTTCAAGTGATTCTCCTGCCTCAGCCTCCCAAGTTGCTGAGATTACAGGCGCCCACTACCACGCCCGGCTAATTTTTTGTATTTTTACTAGAGACAGGGTTTCACCATGTTTGCTAGGCTAGTCCTGAACTCCTGACCTCAAGTGATCTACCCGCCTCAGCCTCCCAGAGTGCTGGGATTACAGGCATGAGCCACTGCACCCAGCCTCAGAGAATTAAAGAAAACTGTTCAAGGAATTAAAAGAAAATATGATTTAAATGACTTGACAAATAGGGAATCTAAATAGTGAAATACAAACTATAAAAAGAATTAAATGGAAATTCTGGAGTTGGAAGGTACAGTTACCAAAATTAAGAATTCACTAGATGGGCTCAATAGCAGATTTTCAGATAGTGGAAGAACCAGTGAACATGAAAATAGACCAATAGAAATGATCCAATTTGAAAAACAGAGAGAAAAAAATGAAGACAAATGAACAGACCTTCAGACACACATAGGATGATGTTAAATGTCCCCACATACATGTAATGGGAGCCCCAAAAAGGGAGAGAAAAAAATATTGATGAAAAATATTGAATTGCAGATTTTTTTAAAAAAAGCTCAACCAACACTGACTTTTAAAAAACAGAAAGAGAACCATACAGTAAGGACAAAGCCAGAAGCATCACACTTCCTGTGTTCAAATTCTATTATAAAGCTATAGCAATCAAAACAGAGTACTGGCATAAAAACACACATAGAGCAATGGAACAGAATTGAAATCACAGAAATAAACCCACTCATATAAGGTTAACTAATCTTCTACAAAGGTGTCAAGAACAAGAATGAGGAAAGAATAGTATCTTCAATAAATGGTGCTGGAAAAAAGGACTTCTTCAATCTAATAAAGGCACCTGAAAGAAACCAACAGCTTATGTCAGAAGAAGGACACAGAAACTTGATGTTATATCCATAGAAATTACAAAATCTAGAGAACAGGAGAAAAAAATATGAAAAAATTAATAGCCTCAGTGATCTTTAGAAAAATATCAAAAGGTACAAAATGTGTGCAATTGGAGTAAGAGTGAAAGAAGAGGAGATATAAATATTAAAAAGCATGGATAAAAACAATATTTTTTAAAAAGCCTAATTAAAAAGTATATTGAAAGATATAAAAAGAATTTCAGAAAAATAATCTGTAGAAAACCTACCTAGGCACATCACAGTCAAATTGTCCAAAACTAGAAAAGAAGACAAAATCTTCAAACAGCCAGAGAAAAATCATACATACCAGGAACAACAACATGAATAATGATAATTTTTCCTTTTAAAAAAGCGAATACCAGAAGAGAAGGGAACTGTAGCTTTAAAGTGCTACAAGAAATAGAAAAAGTAAACCCAGAATTTGATATAAAATATTCAGCAAAAAATTAAAATACCACAGTAAAGTTATCTGAATATAAATAAAAATTAAAATATTCATTGGCAGTAGAACTACATGATAGTAAATGGCAATGGAATTCTCTTAGGTAAAAAAGAAATAATACCAGTTGGAAGCTTGGATTGTGAGGAAGAAATGAAGAGCACAAGAAGTAGTGAAATGTAGTCAGATAGTAAAGAGTCTTAGGTCGAGCCACCGCGGCTCAAGCCTGTAATCCCAGCACTTTTGGGAGGCGGAAGCGGGCGGATCATGAGGTCAGGAGATCGATACCATCCTGGCTAACACGGTGAAACCCCGTCTCTACTAAAAATACCAAAAAAAAAAAAAAAAAAAAAATTAGCCGGGCGAGGTGGTGGGTACCTGTAGTCCCAGCTACTCTACTCGGGAGGCTGAGGCAGGAAAATGGCGTGAACCCGGGAGGCGGAGCTTGCAGTGAGCCGAGATCGCGCTACTGCACTCCACCCTGGGCGACAGAGCGAGACTGCGTCTCAAAAAAAAAAAAAAAAAGTAAGACTAGTTAAAGTAAAAACTTCATCATTGTATTATAGGATATATAAAATATATGTAATACAGAATGACACTAAAACTTAAAGGACGGGAGTAGGAAAAACATCTATTAGTTGCAAATTTCTTATATTTTAAGTAAACTTCTACAATACAGTAAGTAGACAAATAGTTTTAAATGTATCATTCTTTATTTTCCAGAATAGCCCTGAAAATATTAAAGAGGTATAGCAAAAAGCCAATAAATAAAAATCAAAACAGAATCCAAAAATATTATTCAAATATTTAAATAGAGTCTATTCTAGGAGCCAGTTTGGTCTAACATTAAAAAAATCAATCAATGTAACTCATCTTATTAACACATTTTAAAAAATCTATTTGATTATACCTACAGATAGAAAAAATTTGGTAAAATCCCAAACTCATTTATGATAAAAACACTCAGAAAATTAGGTTGAAAAAAGGGACTTCTTCAATCTAATAAAGGCACCTGAAAGAAACCAACAGCTTATGTCACACTTAATGAGAGAAATATTAAACGTCTTCCCATTTTTATTTCTTAAATACTAAACATGTTCAAGATCATAAAGAAGTCAATAATGTTCACTCTTAACCACTTCTATTCCATATTGTACTGATGCATAAAGACAAGAAAAATACTAAAAAGCTGAAGATCAAAGGATAAGGAAAACCTTTTTCAGAGATGAAAGGACTACTTACATCCAAATATTTAAAAAACTATACATTAACTACTCAAATTAATAAGTGCATACCTTAATTTATTATTACAACATATAAAAATTATATTTTGTATACTAATGGTAAACAATTGGATAATTCAATTTTAAAACCTAAATTTATATTAAAAACAAAATATTTAAATTTAGCAAAAGGCATGCAAGACTTGTATACAGAAAAATAAAAATAGTTGCTAAAGGAAATGAAAGACAGTTTTAAAATATAGAAGTATAAATCATGTCCATGGATTGTTGCAGCCTCTGCCTCAGGAGTCCCCTGCAGCCTGGAACACCTAACAAAAGAAATGCAGGTGCAGTGCCAGGGATTGGAGGTGATTCCCCACAAGTCCTAGGAGCAAACCTTGTGAGGGGGCCATCTCTCTCCCCCACCCACCTCAGAGCATGCCTGTGAACAAGAAAGTACAAGAGCCACACAAGCTGGGTGTTAGCCTAGCTATCGGCCATTACTCTTAAGCGCCATCTACTGGATCACGGCACAAACTACCACACTAAAATTATCATGCTAATTATATATGCAAGATGTGAAACCAGGTGCAAGAATTCACCCACATATGCGGATTCTGTACAGAGCCCTGGCCCTCTGAAAGCATCCAGAAATGAATCCAACTGACCATACTCAACTTACCCCGCAGTTAAAGGAACACCAACCCTATCAGATGAGAAAGAATCAGCACAAGAACTCTGGCAATTCAAAAAACCACAGCATCCCCTTACATCCAAATGGATCACTAGCTCCCTAGAAATGGTTCTTAACCAGTCTGAAATAGCTGAAATGACAAACACAAAATTCAGAATCTGGATAGAAAGGAAGCTCATTGAGATTCAGAAGAAATTTGAAACTCAATCCAAGGAATCCAAGTAACCCGGTAAAATGATCCAAGAACTGAAAGATGAAATAGCCATTTTGAGAATCAGAATAAACTTCTAGAGCTCAAAAATTTACTACTAGAATTTAATAATGCAATTCTGCTGTAAATTCTGCTGTAAATTATTAATTAACAGCAGAACAGACCAAGCTGAGGAAAGAATCTCAGAGCTTGAAGATCAGTTCTTTGAATCAACTTAGATGAAAATTAAGACAAAAGAATTTAAAAAATGAACAAAACTGGCTGGGCGCGGTGGCTCACGCCTGTAATCCCAGCAGTCTGGGAGGCCGAGGCCGGCAGATCACGAGTTCAGGAGATCGAGACCATCCTGGCTAACATGGTGAAACCCCGTCTCTACTAAAAATATAAAAAAACTAGCCGGGCATGGTGGCAGGTACCTATAATCCCAGCTACTCGGGAGGCTGAGGCAGGAGAATGGCGTGAACCTGGGAGGTGGAGCTTGCGGTGAGCCGAGATAGCGCCACTGCACTCCAGCCTGGGTGACAGAGCGAGACTCTGTCTAAAAAAAAAAAAAAAAAAAAAAAAAAAAACCTCTAACAAATATAGGATTATGTAAAGATATAAAATCTATGACTCATTGGCATTCCTGAAATAGGAGGAGAAAGAGTAAGCAATTTCAAAAATGTATTTGAAAAACACCAAAAAAATTGCCTAATCTTGCCAGAGAGGTTGAAATTCAATTCCAAGAAATACAGAGAACCCTGGCTAGTTACTATATAAGACAACTATCCCCAAGACACATAGTCGTCAGATTCACCAAGGTCAAGGTAAAAGAAAAAAAAATTCTAAAGGCAGCTAGAGTGAAGGGTCAAGTCACATACAGAGGAAACCCCATCAGGCTAGCCACAGACTTCTCAGCAGAAAACTTATACGCCAGAAGAGATTGGGAGACTATTTTCAGCATCCTGAAAAAAATTTAACTAAAAATGTTATATCCTGTCAAATTAAACTTCATAAATGAAGGAGAAATAAAATCCTTTTTAGACAAGCAAATGCTGAGGAAATTTATTTTAAGTAGACCATCCTTACAAAAGGTCCTTAAGGGAGTGCTAAATATGGAATCTAGAGAACCTGCTGCCATAAAACACTTGAGCACATAGCCCACAGGCACTATAAATCAACTATGCTGTCAAGTCTACATAACAACCAGCTAACAACATGGGTATGAAATCAAAATCACACCTATCAATACTAATCTTGAATATAAATGGGCTAAACACCTGCTTAAAAGACATTGAGTGGCAAACTGGATAAAAACACAAGACCCAACCATCACTGCCTTCAAGAGACCCATCTCACATGTAACAACACCCACAGGCTCAAAACAAAGAGAGGGGAAAATATCTATCAAGCAAATGAAAAACAAAAAAGGACAGGAGTTGCTATTCTTCTATCAGATAAAACAGATGTTAAACAATGAAGGGCATTACTATAATGATAAAGAGTACAATCCAACAAGGAGACCTAACAATCCTAAATATATATGCATCCAACATTGGAGCACCCATATCCATAAAACAAGTTCTTCTTGGCCTATGAAAAGATTTAGACAACCAGACGATAATAGTGGGAAATTTCAACACTCCACTGACAGTGTTAGACAGATCATTGAGGCAGAAAACTAACAAAGAAATGCTGGACTTAAACTCAGCACTTAACCAGTTGAAACTAATAGACAAATACAGAACACTCCACCCAAAAGGAATGCTTATACATTGTTGGTGGAAATGTAAATTAGTTCAGGCACTGAGGAAAGCAGTTTGGAGATTTCTCAAATAATTTAAAACAGAGCTACCATTCCACCTAGCAATCCCATTATTGATTATATATCCAAAGGAAACTAGATCATTATACCAAAATGCACTCATATGTTCATCACCATGCAATTCACAATAGCAAAGACATGGAATCAAGCGAGGTGCCCATCAATGATGGATTGGATGAAGAAAACATATATGCTATGGAATACTACACAGCCCTAAAAAAAGAATGAAATCAAGTTGTTTGCAGCAACATAAATAGAGCTGAAGGCCATAGTCCTAAGTAAATTAATGCAGGAACAGAAAACCAAATACTACATGTTCTCACTTACAAGTGGGAACTAAACATTGAGCACACATGAACATAAACATGGGAATGATTGACACTGAGCACTACTTGAGGGGAAGAGAGAGGGAGGTTGACATGGGTTGAAAAACTACCTATTGGGTACTATGTTTGCTACCTGGGTGCAGTATACCCATGTAACAAACCTTCATATGTACCCTCTGTATATAAAATAAAAGTGGGAATTTTAAAAAGACTAAATATGTTAAAACTAGCACTCTCTAAATTTTATCTACAGTAATTAAAATCTCAATTGTTATCTCAACTGTTTTTGTTTTCTAAGAAACTAAAAAGCTGATTCTAGAAGGTATATGAACACACAAAGAATTTATGAGAAGTCCCACTCCTGGTTAGAAGCCTATGTATGTTTCAGGCCAGAGGTAATTAATTACAAAGGCTTTACCTGGCAGGCTTACAGGGTGTGGAGAGGCTGTTCTGCCCACCCCAGACTTGGTTCACAGCCAATGCATTGCAGTCTTTGAAGGGAGTTGCAGTCAAGGACCCCCTGGCTGGTCACGCCCTTGTGCATATTTATATTGCCAGCTCAGGATCCTCCATTCTTAGGTCTCTTTATCTGAGGCCTATGTAGAGGTCTTCTTCAGGTGCCTCTGTCATGGCCTCCTAATAGGAGAGGAAGAGAAAGCCTTAAAGACACTTTTCTCCACTCTGAGTACCCAGTGAGTTTCCACTTTCTCCTTGCAGGGCCCCCCAACAGTGAGACAAACCCATGTCTGCACTAATCCAACTAACCCTTGACCAGTGCCATTTCCACAGGGAAAAATGGAACAGGGGGAGTCAGTAATTTCTCTGGCTTTAGACTCTTGCTTACACTATTAAAGGAGGTAATTAAAGACTTAACTCTTTCCTTTTGGGCTTGTTGCTTTAATTGGCTCACTACCTGGGTGCAATATACCCATGTAACAAACCTGCATATGTACCCCCTGTATCTAAAATAAAAGTTGAAATTTTAAAAAGACTAAATATGTTAAAATGAGTACCTAAGTCCTCAGCACTCTTTTTCAGTTCTGCTGAGCTCCTGACACTCTAGAATAATCAAAACGTTATTTAGAAAGAACACACTTGGAGTACTTTCACTATCTGACTTCAAGACTTACTATAAACCCACAATAATCAAAGGAATGTGGTACTGGCAAAAGGACAGACAAATAGAAAATACACATTAAAACCACAATGAGATACCACTAACCATCCACATACCCACTCAAATTAAACCACCTGGCAACACCAAATGCTGGCAAAAATTTGGAGTCCCAGAACTTACATATATTGTTGGTGAAAGTGGATAATACAACCAATTTGGGAAAATAATAGTTTCTTATAAAACTAAACCCCTATGATCATCTACCCCATGAGCCAGCAATTATACTCCTAAGTATTTACTTAAGAGAAATAAGAGCATACATCTACAAAAAAAGACTTAAAGCAGAATGTTTACAGAAAGTGATTTCATCATTGCGAAAACCTGGAGACATCTTGAACGTCCATCTACAGGAAGTGGCTAAACAAAGGGTAGTATATCCACATGGTGACATATTCCACTGCCACAAAAGGGAATGAAGTACTAATACACACAACTTGAACAAATCTTAAAAACGTTATTCTGAGTGAAAGAAACTTTGCATAGAAGAGTGTATGATGTTATTCCATTTATAGAAAATTCTAGAAAAGAATAATTTATAATGAAATCAGAACTCTGGTTGCCTCTAAGGGGTTAGCAGTGAGGAAAACTAAAGGTATGAGAAAACTTGGAGATAATGGTAATATTCTATAATTTAGTAGGTTACACAGTGTATGCATTTGTCAAAACTTGTTTAACAGTATTCAAGATTTGTGCATGGTGCTGCATGCAAATTTTACCTGAAAAACAGCTTCAACTCCAGTTAATTATATGTGTGCTGAACTGCTTAGAAGTGAAGTATGCTTTCAGTTGACTTTTCAATGAATTAAAAAACTAGATGGATTGATGGATGAATAGAAGGATGGATAGATGGATTGTTATGTGGTAAAGCAGTAATAGTTTTATCCAGAATCTAGGTGGTGGGTACATGCATGTTCACTGTATAAAACTTTCAGCTTCTATAGATGTTTGAAAATTCTCATAATAAAATGGAAAATAATGGCACAATTCTATGTATTTTTTAATCAACTTTGAAATATGCCGATAAGAACCACATTGCTAATTAAAGAAGTGAAGTACAGGAAGGTTTGGGCTGTGTGTTTCTGTGTAAAAGAAGGAGGAGTCAAAAGTTAGCCAGGCGTGGTGGTGCACGCCTGTAGTCCCAGCTACTTGGGAGGCTGAGGCAGGAGAATGGCGTGAATCCAGGAGGCGGAGCTTGCAGTGAGCCGGGATCGCACCACTGCACTCCAGCCTGAGCGACAGAGCTAGACTTAATCTCAAAAAAAAAAAAAAAAAAGAAGGAGGAGGAGTCAGATTTACATAAACTTGAACAAGCAAGAACTATTATTTCTAGAACATGTACCAAAACACTTACAAGACTGTCTCTGGAGAGGGAACTTATTTTTTGTTCTCTGTTATAATTGAATCATTAACCATGTGCATGTATTAATTCAATAAATAAACACATTAAAATTAAATGAGAGTTTAGTATCCATAACATTCCCTGAGAGAAAAATCTAGAGACTACTGCAGTTTGAAAGGCATGTAAAGAGAGGGGAATATGTTTGCAGTTTTGTTTTTTGTTTTTTGTTTTTTTCAAACAAAGAGAATACTGATGAAGAGGCAAAGATTTGGAATTTAGTAAAGAATAGGGATCATTTGTTAATTTTCAGAAGCTTTTAGGATAAATGAAATGAAAAAGATGCTGGGTTATTTTGGCAGGGAGTTTGATACATTTGACTAAAAGATTTAAAAATATACCTACATGTCAAGAAAAACTGAAATATTCTATACGTTTTACTACTTCCACTTAGCAGAGTTTATCTTGAGCCACTGTCCGTGGCATGTCCAATAGATGTAAAGGCTTCACACACACTCCTCATATGAACAAGTTACTGAAATATTGTCAAAGTGTCACATTTTCTCTATTATAAGGTAAATTGTTTTTCACAATTCTATTTTCTTTGAAATATGGGTAAGTCCTATAATCAATCTTCACCTTTAATGTGGTAGTACTAAACACTACCCAGAGTAACAACTAGGTATTTAATAGAACATCGTATAATAGAGAGAATCTCAGAATCAAATAAGATAGGTGAGTTTTTGCAAGCCTGTCTTTCTAGAGTTCCCTAGTATTCTTTAGAGTGTTAGGCCTATCATTCTCAGCTACCCACCAGATTGTACTTTACTAAGGCACAGGCAACTGTAAGAGTCAGACAATACTTGATAGTGTTGATATTAACACTTGAGATTTGTGATCACATAGGCATTGATTTGAGTCCTGACTCTATCACTTACTCCTGGATTATATGAACTTGGATAGATTATTTAAGGTCTCTAGGTCTTATCTGTAAAATTTCCTAATCTGTAAAAATAGTGTGACAATAATAAATAGCCTAACCAAAAAATAGACTTAAATAAATGTATGAAAAGCAGAGTAAGTGCTCAAAAACTTAGCTCTACTCTTATGCAAAAATGAACTATTTTAAGCAGTTACATGATACAAGAAATCAGCTTGATAATGGAAAAAGATCATAGCATTGTGGTCAATTTTTTTTTTTTTTTTTTTTTTTTTTTTTTTTTTTGAGACGGAGTCTCGCTCTGTCGCCCAGGCTGGAGTGCAGTGGCGCAATCTTGGCTCACTGCAAGCTCCGCCTCCCGGGTTCACCCCATTCTCCTGCCTCAGCCTCCCAAGTAGCTGGGACTACAGGCGCCCGCCACTACGCCCGGCTAATTTTTTGTATTTTTAGTAGAGACGGGGTTTCACCGTTTTAGCCGGGATGGTCTCGATCTCCTGACCTCGTGATCCGCCCGCCTCGGCCTCCCAAAGTGCTGGGATTACAGGCGTGAGCCACCGCGCCCGGCCCATTGTGGTCAAGTTTTACACAGGCATGATTTGTTTCGTGGCCTAGACTGAGTTGAATTAGAATAGAAGAAACCATATTACAAGTATTCAGGAATTAAGCAAAGACAAAAAAATAGTTATGACTGTGATAACTGAAACAAAGGAAAACATATAAGAGACAATGCATTTAATTTGCAAATTGACAAATAAGGTAGGTGAGGAAAAAAAGAGGCTTATGGAATTCTTGAGCCTAACGTGCAAGAAGAACAAGGATGCCGTTTGTTGGGAGAGGGGAATTGAGGAATAAGAGCCCATTTATTGGTGTGTGTATGTGTTGGGGGAGGAATGAGTTCAGTTTGGGACAACCATGAAGACCCAGCAGACAGTTGAAATACTGTTATGGAGTTCCCTTATATTCTAACCTATTACCTTTAGTTCTTTGAAGTCAGTTCTGCACCCCACTTTTTGCTCTACACCCAGACAGTAGCACAGACTGGTGTTCAGTAATGGCAGATGGAAAAGTAATGGGAGAACGGTGGTAAGTGGCCGGTGCATGCTGCAAGGCTTGTGCATGAAGACTCATCCTGAGTGAAGAGCCACACAGTTCCACCAGGGGGAAGACTGGTTTTTGCATATCCTGCAGAAACTCAACCACCTATTAGAGGAGAGAAACAGAGCGGGAAAGAACTACGCTGTAGGAAGGAAAGATGAACTTGAGTTTCACTTCTTAGTGCCTTTTCTCAGGGGAGAGGCCATCACTTGAAGATGCTGTCTCCTGCTCCTTCTCCGGGGATTAGGTATGAGCCTTGACTTGTGAGGAGTCTGGGGTTAATGTTAATGCTGGGTAGAGAGGTGGAAAGACTTCCTCTCCGGAGAGTCTGAAGCCACCAGACAGAAGATGAAGGGGATATGTTAGATTAAAGGACCATAACAGAGTAATTGTCGGCACAATAAAAAGGAGGCAGTGCCCTGGGGTCCTTTGGGAGCTGAGGTGGTATTGGAGAGATAAAGCAGAGACTTTCCCGTCTGACCCCAAGCTTGTCGGCCCTCATGAATATCTCTCTGGAACTAGGCTCTGTGTTCAGTGCTGTCATCTCTCAAAAGCCAAGCAGGGATATCTGTCAACGTGGAACCTCCATGATGATCCAGTGTCAAGTCGACAGCCAAGTCACCATGATGTTCTGGTACTGTCAGCAACCTGGACAGAGCGTGACACTGATTGCAACTGCAAATCAGGGCTCTGAGGCCACATATGAGAGCAGATTTGTCATTGACAAGTTTCCCATCAGCCGCCCAAACCTAACATTCTCAACTCTGACTGTGAGCAACAGGAGACCTGAAGACAGCAGCATATACCTCTGCAGCGTTGAAGACACAGTGCAGGGCACAGATCAAAGATCTAAGCAAGAACCTCAGCTCCCTTCTACCCAGCTCCCCTCACATGAACCTGAGGGCCCTGTCAAGGTGGGACAGAAGAGGAAACCACAGCTCTTGGGTAGACACAGCTGCTTCTGTGCTTGTAGGTGGGCATGGGTATGAATGGATAGACTGGGGATGAGGAGAGCATCTGCAGGACTAGCTGCAGTGTTCTATCCACAGTCAGGAAGAGTGGCTCCTGGAAAGCTGAGGGTAAAATTTCTTCTAGAAGGGTGCTCAGAAATACCCAATAAAAACAATCAGATACAGTTTCCTTCAAGTGGCAGGGTCAGTAATAGCCTTTAACTGTTTTATCTCAAGGCTCTATTTAGCTGGTTTTCTATCATAATATATTTTGGAAGAACTTTAGTCATCTTGAAACAAAGCTGGTATTACATTAATGACATCTGGTTGTTCTCCGTGGATAGGAATTATAAAGCCCTCTAGATGCCTCAGTATGACAATATGACACATGCATCCCAGACCAATATAAAATCTGCAAAGTTCAGGAACCTTCTATACTGGTGAGTTTTGGAGTGGTCCAGAGGTTTGGGGCATGTTGAAATATCTCCTCTAATGTGAGAAGTAAGCTGCTGCACCTTAGATCATCTACCACAGAGAAAGAGATGCAATGCTTAGTCTTTGGACTTTGAATTAAACTTTGGATATACTGCATTTGATTGTGCTACTCTATTCCGTTTACTATGTAATCTGTAAAGCTGGGGCCAGGGAAAGAGAGGGTTCTGTGGCAGAACAAGCCCATGATAAAAGCTTCCTGCTGCTTGGGCCATAGACTAAGCAGACCCAGTTGCTCCTGAAGAGCCTATGGTAGATACAGATGCTCTGTGGAGCTCCTGACATTCCCCAGTAAGAGAATCACAAGGCAGTGTGGAACAGGTTCACTGTGCCCTGATTTGCACTTCAGACCACTGCATCTTGGGCTACACTTTTGTTGCTTTCCAGACCCCAGAGAGAAAGAATGCTCTCACACACAAATTACACGAAGAGTGTTTATTACTTACACACAGGCAGCAAGGGAAAACAGAGGCCTAAGATTCAGGGAAAGCCAGTCCCACTAGGCTCAGGAAAGCTGTCCAGGGTGGATGAAATCTTGTCTGTGCCTTCCCTACTTGCACTGCCACTGGGGGACCTCAGAGAGCAGCCACCCTGGGTTTTATATCACAGAGCAACTTGACATGCTTGGCAAAGCACTGAAGGACATTCTATTTCTAGAAGGGACTGGAACAGAGCCCTGGCTATTCTGGACAGTTCCTCCTTATCTCAGGATGTTACATTCCCAGAACATTGTACAGTTATTCTTGAGAACTACAAGCAAGAAACTGGGGAGTACTGAGTTTGTCCAAGGCCACCTGGAGAATTGCCCTGCAGACAGGTGCAGAGTTTTGGTTAAAGCCATACTCTTACCAGCCAACGACCCCCTCTTCTTCTTTTGAAAAGTTGCTCCTGGCTCTGTAATGGATGCCTTATAATGGCATTCAGAACAAGGTATTATCTGATCTGCAAAACTGAATTTGGTTGTGCCCAGAGCATTCTCTCTGTTATTAAATGGAAAATATATAATCAAGACCATACTTAAGCACAGCTGGAAAAAGGCACAATTCAATTTCAAGAGCACATCTGAGTCTCACGGTACCCTACTCATACTTTTCTCCTCTTACCTTCAAACCACACCTAAGTTTTATGGAAATTCCATATTTCCAGTTGAGAAACATGAGCTCATTGTTTTAGATGGGTCTTCACGTTATTCTGGAAGGATCATTACAGTCTAACCAAGTATGGTTCTGAAAGGTAGTGGTGAAGGGAAATCCTCTCGGGGCCAAAACTTAAATTGGTATACCTGATTGTTGTCCATATTTTATTGAAGAAGAGATGGCCAGAAGTATAGCTATATCTTATGTTCAATTTTCTTTCATACTATCATCTAGTCTCCTTACCTATTCAGTCATATTTTTCTTCTTTTTGCTTCTCTATGCTACAATCTGGGTAATTTCTTTAAAACTACTGTTTAGTTTACTAATTCACACCTCAGCTCCAGTAAGCCTCTAATTTAATCTTTCAGCTGACTTTGTTCATCTAAATTATATTAATTTTTATTTCTAGAAAATCCACTTGGGTCATTTACAAATATGAGTGGCCATTTTTGAAAGCATCTTACTCCTTGTGTATTTTAAAACTATTTTCTTTTTATAAGTATATTAAGCATCTACTGGGAATTCTTATCTGACAATGCCAGCATTTGATACCTTTTTGCATCTGGTTTTTAGTAGTCTGCTGGCTCTCACTCAGGGTGGCCTATTTCCTTGGGCATTATTTAATTTGATGTCAATTCATCTTTCAGAATTCTTTAAATACTGGAGTAAAAGTGGGTTTTCTAAGAAATATTCATGCTTGCCTCTGTCAAGAAATTGGGGCGCTACAGACCTAATATCACTTTTTTTATAATTCTCAGTAGATATCTTCTTGGTCACAGAATGTCTATCTCAAACCCCAATGGGCTGACTGTTCAGCGACCATGAATATTCAGAGGAATTTTTTTTAAATCCTTCACCCAAAGCCAAGACCAAGATAAATAATATTCTTTGTTAACTGTTTCTAGGATTAGTTTTCTAGCTCATCCTTTCACTAACTGTGTATCTCTTTGTGTACCTCACTTTATGAAGGAGTGATTCCTATCTAGTTTCTGGTCCATGTAAGGTGTCATGGGCCTTCTCCAGTTTCCACGTGTACTAATTCTCCAGGTCACAGGAATGCACATGTATACCCATTTTATGTCATGGGTTCAGTGCTAGCTTACCTTCCTGCTCGATGCTCCCATTACCATAGGAAGTTGACAAATTTACCTACAGTGAAGCCTTGGATTATGAAGCACCTTCCTATATTACAAAATTGCCTCTTTAAAAGCAGTAAAGCACTGTGCTTAGGAACTTGAACTTTATCAAGTGACAGACCTAAGTTTAAAACTTGGTTCTTCTTTAACACTAGGTGTAACCTTAACAAGTTACACAATTTCTCCATGCCTTAATTTCTCCATAGAAAATAAGAATAATAGTGAGTTTTTAAATGTAGGGTTTTTTTATAAGAAAGTGATGCAATTATCTGCATAAAAAGCACACAGAGACAAAATATGCAATTAGTGTAGTTGCTACCTAAACGTATTTCTCACTATAAAAACATATTTTACCACTAGCAATTCCTTCCTCAAGAATAAGTATGACCCGCTCTCAGAAAATTTTATTATTATAATTGTTTCTCTTTTAGCTATTTTAATTACATAAAAAATTTGTGGTATTATAAAATATGCATATTATCAAAATAAAAAGTCAAAATCGTTCAGTTTAATACAATTAGATCATACAATATGTAGTTTTAGAATTTATTCCCTTAACCCAACAATATTTCATGAATATCATTTCATGTCAAAAATATTTTACATTAACTTTAATAAGAATAGTTCAATACACTGATGACCATCCTTCATACAATCAAAACCCATGACAAGGTATATATCCATAGGCTAGATGACAGGGTTATTTAATTTTAAATAGCAATTGGTTGTGTGTTTTGAATTATTTCTGTTACAGACTCAGAAGTAAACCATGAAAGCCCTCCTAACTCTACCTGCAGATGGCTGGTCCTTTTTATTCAGGTGTTAACTTAAATGCCACCTCCCCAAAGAGACCCTTCCACTCTACGTAAAAGCACTTCAGCAGTCATCCCATATTATATTATCACTTTATCCTATTTTACTAATATATACTCATCATTTACTGAAAGCGATGTATGTGCATCCCATTTCTATACCTCCTCACATGTGCATAAATGCATGCACGTGTACTCACAAATGCACTGAAACAAGAACCTTTTCTATCTTCTTCATTGCTGCTTCCAAATAGCCTAGAAGAACTCCTGGAATATCACTCCAGGAATTCAATAAATATTTGTGAGTAAATAAATATGATTTCAAAGAAAAGAGGAAAATTTATACAGCTGCAGTGGATTTCCCTGGAGGAAAACTCTACAAAGGCATTTGAGTTTAGATAATCTAAGCCCATAAGAAAATTAACTAGATTATTCTAACAGGAAAGGAATAAGCACTTCAAACTTTATATTTTTTATTCTTGTTTCAAATTTATGTTTTAGTTGCGGGGAGGATAGGAAAAGATTAAAGGACACAAAATTACAGCTAGATAGGAGGAATAACTTCCAGTGTTTTACAGAACTGTAGGAAGACTACAGATAACAAGCTTTGTATTTGAATAGAAAGGTACACATGTCATGTGCCAATCCCCTTCTGCTGCCTTACCCAAGACTGGGAAATGGAACAGATGATATGGGTTCTACAGAGAAGCAAAGTGCAGAACCTGCTCAAACACAGTGGCTCTGGGGTGGAAGGTTCTCAATTGGAATTGTGCTGGTGCCTGTGTGGATGGAGCACTCAGTTCTGAGCCTTGGGAGCCTTTTGAAGGCCCTCCTGGCCAAGACGATCTTGAGGAAATGACTGACCCGTTGGCTGCCTTCCAAATGGATGACACAGTCTAGACTTTTATAAGCTAAATGAGTAGAAGGAACCCAGTTGACTGGATTTATCACCAAACCCAGCTTGTGAGCCTCAATTTAGAGCTAGTATAATTTAGAAAAATAAATACATACACCATATATTAAACTCTGAGTATCATGAAACAGATCCTAGATGTTACAATCATAAGAATCTATATGGGTGTTTCTCCTGCACTCTGTCCTGGCTTTCTTCTGCTTCCTGTCTAAGGGAGCCTGGACTCACTTAAGCAGCTCTAATAGGCCAAACAAGAGAGTGGTCAAGGAGTGGCTGAAATGTGAACAGAAAGACTCACCATTATATTACAGCAATCAATCTATCCTTAAAATAATTTAGGTTTAGTCTCAAGTGCTAGAGGCTTCCCCATTTACCCATACATGGAAGCCTGAAGAATAAACAGAACTATAAACTTCCCTCCGGGCATAAAACTTGCATGTCTTCCATGGCTTCAAGGTGGGGAGCAGCTGGGCAGGCAGAAGGAGGGGCAAGGGGCAGGCAAGAGGAGGGGCAGGAGGCAGGCAGGGAGGAATGGGCTACTCCATTTAGCTGATCAGCCTTGACCAGTTCATGCTCTGCGACTCCATATTACAAGTCAGACTTTTCTGGATCATACAGAGCACTCCCTTCACTCTCCAGATTCAGTGATTCCTGGGATGAGATAGTAACAAAAACAATTCCTTATTGGATAAAGCGAAATTGTGCCGTGGGGGAGATAAGAAGCTTAGAAAAAAAGAAAAATAATGGATGAGGAGAGGAGCTGGGAGTTTGGCGGGAAGACAGCCTAAAATCTGACAATCTGTTTGCAGAATGATAAAGGATGCTGGAACCCAAGGAGGAGTTGACTAAGAGCTTAGGAGAAAGATCTGGTGGGATTTGGAGAAGAAAGTGTTAAAAAAAAAAGAATTTGGAATCTGACACTTTTCAGACTACTATGAGGTCTGAAAGACTCATGTAGCAACGTGAAGAGGAACAAACTTTGTCTGAATAGGGAAGGTTCTAGTATGATCTTTGCTGGAGAAGTCATTTGAACTCTGAGTTTTAGATTGTTGATTTGTAAAAAGGAGAGAACAATATCTGCTGCCTACCACCTCAGTGAGGGTGCACCAAGGATCAGCTCAGAGGAGGCAAAGCAGAATGCCCTATGGCAGAGCATGGAGGCCCTAGAGTCAGACCACCATACTTACATCCCATCTTTAAAACCTACTGGCTGTGTGGCCTTGAGCAAGTCACTTTACCTCCAGAAAGCTCATTTAATCACCTGGAAAATGGGCAATCGCATAAGTGGTTGTAATGTAAAATGAAGAAAAAATTCTTAACTTATATGAGTTACATGCTGTATAGTAACATGGTATATAGTAAGCACACAGAATTGATTCACTGTTATCAAAATTGAAGGACAGTGGTTTGATGTGCTAAGCACTCAGTACAAGCCAGAAAGATGTCTTAGAGAAGAAGACAAAGAAATCTCTAGTTCAGGATGAAGAGTACCAAGAATGGCATGTCCTCCAAATTGAGCTTGGGCAGCTGGATCTGAACCTATCCTACACATCTGAGTCTACAGTATGAGGTAACAGTCTCCACCTATAGCTATCTTCTCTGCCTGTAAGGTCATTCCTTTTTGAAGAAAGCTGACCTCAGACTATACTGTGATCATTTAAGGAAGAGCGCAAAATACTGGAGAAGGCTAATCTTCAAGCTCTAGATACAGAAAATCCTCATATTCTTGGGTGTTCCTTTCAGACAGAGTCAGAGCCACAAGCACTGATCCAAAAATCCCGTTCTCCAAAAAAAGTTTCCATCTTCTGCCAAGGTTCACCTCCCTATTTAGTGCACACTGGTGTCTACAGTTGCTACAGCAAGAGCCTTTCCTTATCCTCTAAGGCAGGAGTTGTGTGAAGACCCCATGACAAGGGGACAAAATGAAACAACATGTTTAGGGGCAACACAGGAAAAACCCATATTATCAATGCTCCAAAACCTGGATACCTCAGGCTTGGCCAGTCATTTGTGAGCAGAGAGGTGTGTCATCTACATGGCAGTCATGGCCTGGATGGGTCTGGAACTGTGGCAAGGGAAGTCTCTGAGACAAGGTGCCAGGAGAAAGATGAATTCAATCATCTATTTCTGCCAGGAAGAAAAGCAGGAGGAAGGAATCAGATGCACAGTTTGTCCTCTGGGGACCTCTGCCTTGATCCTCAATAAATCTCCTTTTAGATGTCACCTGCAGCAATTCCCACAGTTCACAATGATCTCCATGGCTTCCGTTGGCCTTATGGTGAGCTCTGCCAAGATCTGTATTCTTGGGCAAGACAGAATCCTTCTGAATCTCAGTCTCTTCCTCTATAAATGGAAATAATTTTGCTCTGCACAAATCACAATTAGCATGTTTGTGGGAAGTCAAACTGTGAAACTCAGCATAACTGAAAAGCAATGTACCACTGTTGCTTATGTGAAAACTCTTGTAAAGCTGTCAGGCACCATGCACCATCTAAGTACAGCAGTGTTAGGTATGAGCCCATCAGTGATTAGAGGGGATGTGGGGTGGAGAGCGGGTCTCTGAGCAGTGGATCTCCTGGCTTTGGGGAAGCTGGCTCGTTGGCCATGCCAGGAGCTGAACCTGAAGGTACTCTGTGTGTCCTCTCAACTCCACGGGCCCCACATTCGCATTTTTTCCAATTCCCTCTGGTTTCCATTTGCTTCCTCCCTCTAGCCCCCTGGCCATGTCCGATCTCAACACGAAGTTTCTGAGCTTTTCTCATTTTGTTCACCATCTCCAGAACATCTCTGCTTCTTTTACTTTTCAAAGAATTTAAACTTGAACTCTGCTCACTCCTGCCCATCACCAACCTGAGCTCAGAGTTGCTGAGAAGGGAAAGCACCCTCATAAGGAAGCTCCTCCTTTCCTTACATCATTAGACTTGATCACAGACAGCATCTCCATCTCCACACTACTCTGGCCAGGTTGTGCCTCAGTCAATTACACAACTGTGTCTTAGTAGCCTTGGTAGGGCCCAAATCAGGATATTCTCTGGGAAGATTCACTTGATACTAAGCCCAGCATAATCTCACTGCATCTAAAATAGAAAATTCTAGACCCACCCCTCCACATCTTCTTATTGATCCCAATATGTGACCCATTTACCATGTGCTAAAATCTCTACCTACTGCTGATTCTCAGATCAGATGGTAACCCAGATTTACCATGGTCCAAACTCTGACATCTGATCAGGGGCATGTCATTCTGGTTCAGGCTGTCAGCCCTGAGCAGGTGAGTCAGTTTGCATCACCCTAAGTGCAGGTTGCCAGGACAACCGTGAGGCTGCATAAAAAGAACCTATGACAGGATGCACATGAGAGAGACAAGTGGCTTCACATTGAAGAAGGGGAGGAGTGCGCCATTGGTTTTCCATCCTCCAGATGCACTGAGTAAGCTCCTACCTAACCTGTGTCCCCTCCTTCTTTGAAACACTTCCCATCCTTTTAAGCCTTGGTAGGAAGGAGAGCCATCTGGAAGCCCAGAATCCTATGGAATGCTAAGTCTCCCTTCTCCTTACCCCTTAGTGTTGGAATTCTGGATACCCAAAGTCTTGGATTTGACCTTTGTGCACAGTGACTGCAAAGAAGCATATTCATATTCACAAAAATGAGCCTTAGATAAGACTTTCCTCCTCTCGTGGGGGCTCCAGGAAACTGAAAAGCCAAGCTTGTTACCAATGCTTGCCCTTCCTTAAGTACATTATTAAATACATCCCCAATAGTTAAAAGGACTCCTAGACACCCAGGCCATTCTCCCTCCTTCTAACCCTCATCTCCTCGGCCTACGAAAGCCCAGCTGTGTGATCCGGGGATTGGTTTCCCCTGTCTTCCCCATCCCAGCATCCTTCCAGGAAATAGCCAGTCTCCCTCTCTGCTCTCAGAAGGCAAGTTTCCTTATCACCTGTGAATCACAAACCCACAGAGTGGCCAAACGTAGCCGAGCTGATGCAAGACCCTGGCAAGGGGAAAGCTGCAGGTGTGTTTGTGCTGGGAAGAACTGTGACCCTCACCTCACAGACACCTCCTCTCCTGATTCTTGGAAGGGTATAAGGACAGGCCTTCCACCACCAGTCAGGCACACTCTACCACCATGAATCCATTCCTGATCCTTGCCTTTGTGGGAGCTGCTGGCGAGTTTCATGACCTGCCTCAGGCCCCACCCACCCCCTTTCCTGGCAGACACATGCCCTGCCATTCTTGCCACCTCTCCTCTTTTGACTGCGCTCTGATATTCTATTTCCTCCATCTGACATATCTCCTTCCCATCCTCCTTGGGCTCTCTTTAAGCCTCACCTGTTTCACCTTTTCCCTCATTTCACTCCCACCACTGTCATTCATCCATATCCGAGCTGTGGTTGGAGAAGCTGGGAAGGGAGACCAGGTGGGGCTGGCCCATGAAATGAAGTGGCAGGCTTCAGGCTTGGCTCCAAGAGCACCAGTATAGCACCACTATAGCTGCTCTTAACCTCGAATGCACCTGGGGAGGTTCAAAAATTACTCATGCCAGAGATTCAACTCTAGAAGTTCTAACTTCATTTGTCTGGGGTGCAGCCTGTGTACTGGGCTTTTAAGCTTCCCAGGTGATTTTTAACGTTTCCAGGCATGCCGCCAAAGTTAAGAATTGCTCTTCTATTGGCCAATAACAAAGTCTACCTTTGTTATGCCAAAGTGAGCCTGGGGCTGCCCTCAACTCTGCCCTCACTGCACAGATCTGAGCTATGGGGGAAGCTAGTCATGGCCAGGTCTACCCAGACAGGGGGTTTTCCTAGCTTAGCCAAAGTATCCTGACAATCCAGGGCTCAAATAGCCAGGGCAAGTACACAGGTGATGAATAAAAGAGAGAAGCACTCAGTGGGTGAGACAACAACATACCAACTGCTACCCCACTGGAAGCATTTTGAGGACATTCCTTGCATCCTCAGCCTGGTGTCCCCAGGAGAGATCTGAGCCCCTGCAGGGTACCTAGCTACGTGCCCTGCAGACACAGAGACTTGGGAGCCACATCCAGTGATGCTCACCAGGGGTGGCAGCGCTCCCTCCCTTGCCTGGCCTCACTGGGCTTGTTAAGGATTTCTAATTGGCAGGAAGCAACCGCAGGCTGGGAGCACCACCCCTAACATGCTACTGACTTGCCTTCTCCCTTCCTATTTCCACTCCAGTTGCTGTCCCCTTTGACGATGATGACAAGATTGTTGGGGGCTACACCTGTGAGGAGAATTCTCTCCCCTACCAGGTGTCCCTGAATTCTGGCTCCCACTTCTGCGGTGGCTCCCTCATCAGCGAACAGTGGGTGGTATCAGCAGCTCACTGCTACAAGACGTAAGTGTGGGGCCCCTGACTGCAAAGCTCCCAGCCAGGCTGCCTGGGAGAGCTTGGCTTCAGCCCAGGGAAGTACTGAGGTTGGGTAAGACGGATGGGAGAGGTGGTGGAAAAGAAAACTTGTTGACAGCAGCTGACTCTCCAGAGCAAGGCCAATCCATGAAACAGCAAGGGTTGTGGTCATAAAAGCAGGCAGGGATAATCTTGGAGTTGTCAGAGCTAGTGACAAAAGCAGGCAAGTACCTTTTGCTGGTTAGCTACACATTAAAGCGACCTAAGACAGAGTTTTTGAAAATACTGATGCCTGTGTCCTACCCCAGGGCAATTAACTCAAACTTCTCAGGAAGACAGTGTGAATACCAGTGAGTATTTAACACTCTACCTCTGGTAACTGTAGAGTGTATAGACAGAGCTGAGAACCGCTGCCTACACGAAGAACTCTCAAACCTGAGTATGCGTCAAAACCACCTGCAGGCTTATTAAAGCACAAATCACTGGGTCCCATCCCCAAGGTTCTGATCAGCGGGTGGGGGTAAGGACCAAGAATTTACATTTCTAACAAGTTCCCAGGAGATGCTAATGCTATGGCTACCCTTGGATTAGATTACACAGAAGGGTGGTGCTCACTAGGCCAAGAAGGGAGGGAGGAACAGGCGCTGTGCGCAGTTAGCAAAGACCTGGGGTGAAGAATGCTGGGAAAACTACGAGGAGCTCTTTGTGCCCACAGTGCTAGTGACTGTGGAGATTTGTGGGAAAGAGGCTGGGAAGGCAGGTTGAGGAGCAGCCTCTGGTGGGATCCCTTTGACTCTTCCCCACCCCACTACCACCAGCCTCTGAAGCAGAAAGGTCCTGGGTCTCACACCTGCACTGACCCACATCCCTCTCCTGCCCATGCAATATGGCCACACACCCCACCCCATGCCTCCAGAGCTATCCATGAGCAGTGAGCTTGAGGACCCTGGGGAAGGTGGGAGGGGTGCCCAGGCTGTGGGAGAAGGTCTTCACCATGCCTGCCCTGCCCATCAGCCGCATCCAGGTGAGACTGGGAGAGCACAACATCAAAGTCCTGGAGGGGA